>NC_000015.10:22705694-22879421 GCF_000001405.40 Homo sapiens | reverse complement strand
CCCCCTCTTAGGACGTGGCACAGTGGACGCCTCGTGTTTTCGACTGGCCGCCTTTTTGTGGTGCTGTCTGGCTGTCCCTCTGTCCTGTACATCACAGCAGCTCAGTTTATAACCTCCTGGGCTGGGAAAGCCAGTGGGAAATGGAATCTCAGGTAGCCCTCTCCTGCCTTCCATCGTGACTAACGAGGTGGGCATCTCTTCGTTCGTTGCGTCTTCTTGTTTCTTTTCCTGTGAAATGCCCCATTGAGTTCTTCGGCCTATTTTCTTTTTCTTTTTTTTTTTTTTTGAGACGGAGTCTTGCTCTGTCACCCCGGCTGGAGTGCAGTGGCGTGATGTTGGCTCACTGCAAGCTCCGCCTCCCGGGTTCACGCCATTCTCCTGCCTCCGCCTCAGAAGTAGCTGGGACTACAGGCGCCCACCACCACGCCCAGCTAATTTTTTGTATTTTTAGTAGAGACGGGGTTTCACCGTGTTAGCCAGGCTGGTCTCCAACTCCTGACTTTGTGATCCACCCGCCTTGGTCTCCCAAAGTGCTGGGATTACAGGCGTGAGCCACTGCGCCCGGCCTCTTTTGCCTATTTTTCTACAGCTCATTCTGTGTAGACTCTTTATGTGCTGCACATATCGTAAATTCTTCTCCCATTTGTGGCTTACCTTTTCACTCTGATAGTGGTGATTTTTGATAAAATGCTCTTAATTTGGATGTAGCCTTTTTTTTTTTAATGATTAGCACTTTTTTTTTTTTTTAATCTACCATCTGCACATGGAACTTTCAGTATCTTTTTGAAGATGTTTTCCCTGCCTTGGGGTCATGAAGACATTCCTTTACATTGTCATCTAAAGATTTGAAGCTTTGCCTTCTGCATGGAAGTTTGTAATCCTTCTGGAGTTGGTCTTTGTGTATAATGTGAGAGGCAGAGGAAGCTTCTTTCTCTCTGTGGAGACCCATTTGTCCCTCCTCTAGTGGCTGAAGGGCTCCTCCTCCCGTTGCTGACCAGTGGTGTCCCCTGCCATCTGCCAGCTTTTCATGGGCACACCGGCCTGTCTCCTGGCTTTCTGCCACATCTCGCTGGTCCAGGCATCTGTCTCTGACATCATAGCACATTGTCTTGCTCATCGTTGCTCTAACATGACTCTCGAGTCCCCACTTGCCGCGTTCCCTGCCTTGCTCCTTCTTCTTCAGCATGTTCCCTCCCCAGGGCTCTCTGCTCTGCCCTGTTTGGGGATTGGTTCACCACATACCCTGGCGAAGCGTATTGGCTTGTGCATGGGAATGGCACTTCGTCTCCAGAGCTGCCTGGGGAGGCCTTTCCTATGTTGTTTCCCAAAGCAGTCTCTTGTCTTTAGGTCTCTGGTAGCTTTGCAAAGGCAGAGTTGTGTTTGGGAAGAACAGGGAGAGGGTGGTCTGTACACAGCTCAGGGCATTGCTGTCAGACTGCCAGGCCTCTGGGGACTGAGCCTCTGGACCAGCCGCCTCACACCAGCCTGTGCGGTGAAAGAGAATGTGTTGGCTCACATGTCAGGGGAGTCCGAGGTCAGGCGTGACACGCCTGGGAGCTGACAGCCTCCATCAGACCTGCATCTTCGGCTCCCTCTATGCCTGCACGCCTAGGCAGACCCTCTCCTGGTGGTTTCAAAGAGGGACTGCAGCAGCCCCAGGCCTTCATTGTCCTGGCCACCCACAGGCTCGGTGGGGACCCCAAGTAGCATCTCCTCCCATGCTCCCCTCACCACTGTGAGTGTGAGGGGTACAAGATGGAGAACCCACCAGTGTCTCAGACCAGCAAGAAGCCAGTGTCCAGGGTGGCCCTGCTCTAAGGACATGTTCCCCAAATAATTGTGAATTGTTAAAAACCAGATGTTAGGAAGCATCTCTTTAAGTATAATCTCTCATTATGAATTTTAAATATTTAATACAGGAATATTCCTTTCATGGGTGACTTTTCCTGAACTTACAGCATAAGGCGCGCCCTATCTCATCTGCTATCTTAGTCCATTTTGTGTTGCTGTGGCAGTGCCTGAGACTGAGTAATTTATAAAGAAAAGGAGTTTATTTGGCTCATGACTCTGGAGGCTGGGAAGTCCAAGATCAGGCAGCCCATCTGTCAGGGTCTCATGCTGCTTCAGCTCTGGGGGAACAGAGAAGGGGAAGCGGGTGTTGCCAAGAGAACAAACATGAGAGGCAGCCTTGCTTACAACAACCTGCTCTCGCAGGAGCTTATCCATTCCCACAAAAACTAACCCAATTGTGGGAGAACTGACCCAGCCCTGTAAGAAATCCATCACCTCTCGGACCACCTTCCAACACTGCTACATTGGCAATTAAATTTCACCATGAGTTTTGGCAGGGACAAACCACATCCAAACCATAGCCTCTGTGTATGTCCAAGCCTGAGGATGCCTGTCTGGTCATTGGCCTCAGGTCAGGGAGGTGAGACCCGAGCTTTCTTAATGGGGAGACAGCCTTGTGGAATTGATAGAGATAGTGTCAGAGACCCCTTAGGGCTGGTTTCTCTTCTGTCCAGCTGCCCTTTTTGGAAATAAGATAAAGTGTCAAAAGCTTTTCTTTACATCATTTCTTTTTTTTTTTAGACTGGAGTTTCACGCTTGTTGCCCAGGCTGGAGTGCAGTGGCACAATCTTGACTCACCACAACTTCTACCTCCTGGGTTCAAGTGATTCTCCTGCCTCAGTCTCCCGAGTAGCTGGGATTACAGGCATGTGCCACCACACCCGGCTAATTTTGTGTTTTTAGTAGAGATGGGGTTTCTCCATGTTGGTCAGGCTGGTCTTGAACTCCCGACCTCCCGCCTCGCCCTCCCAAAGTGCTGGGATTACAGGCGTGAGCCACTGCACCTGGCCTGACATTCTTCACATAAACAAACTCTTGTGGTTCTATAATTATTTATGTCCATCCCAGGACTCATGGACATAAATAATTATAGAACCACAAGAGTTTGAAGCAGGCAGAATGGAATTTACTAGGATAATCTCTTAGCTTAAAGGCACGGTTTCTGTGCATTGTCATGGCAACAGTTGGCCCTCTGTTGGCTTCTGGATGGAGTGTGATGCTGCATTAGAAACAGGGAAAGAGAAGCGGAGCAGATGGTGTCTGGCCGGCGTCTGGCACTGGATTGACGTTGATGAGTACGGAAAAGTCTGCCTTTCTTCCTCTTGGTCTTAGTTTTGCCATCATCTCTGGGAGGTCCTCAGAAGTTAAAATCTCATTGTCGGTATTTCTTGATTTTCTGATAGCTGTTTCTTTGTTTAATCATTTCTTTTACTCCTATGGGACTTTAAGATTTCAGCATGGCTGTGGGGTCGGAGGCACTGAAGGCTCCATCACCTTCTGCCTGCTCCGTGGGGGTGGTGAGCGCACTGTGGTCTGAAGAGGCCCTTCCTGGTGGCCTAAGAGCCCTCACCTCTAAAGATGAACAGCAGTTGCTCAATTTTTGACCATCTTTGGGTTCTTGGTGGATTTGGGGTGTTCTGCTGTCCTCATGATCCTGGAGGTACATTTTCTTTATATATATATATGTTATTCTGGAGAACGGACCTTGTGTGGTTTTTATTACCTCTGTAAAGGAGCTTGTGACCCAAGAGCAGTTCGGCATGATGGCCTAGAACTTTGTTTTGGGCTCTGTAGGGAATGAGTGGATGTGGACACCAGGGTAGGCCACCCCTACTCCTTCCATCTCCTGTGTTGTTTGCAGGAGACGCCCCTTCCTTCTGTCAGTGTGGTGGGATCTTGTCATAAACTGTGGTTCTTAAGAGCCTGGTGGCAAATTAGCAGGGAAGGATGGGGCGAGAGCTTTTAGACAGGTAAATCCTGGAAAACAGAGCACACATTCAACACTGGGTCTTACCTGTGTCTATATTTACATTAATTAAATGTAACTAAAAATAAAATTCAGTTCCTCAAGTGCCAAGCCACATTCCAAGTACTTACTAGGCATGCATGGCTGGCGGCTGCCGGAATGGACAGGACAGACGGAAGCATTTCCATCATCCCAGAAATCTCTTGACAGAGATAAAATAAACTTACAGAGTTTATTTTATGCTAAAAGGCAAAGAAGTTCTTGGTTTTCAGCACCAGATTGCTCTCTGGCGAGATACCCTTCCTAGCTTGACCCTCTCTTTCTCTGCTCTAGTCTTTAGAAGAAGTGTGTGACCTGCTGCACGCGGCTCCTTTCCAGAACATCTTGCCGCGAGTCCATGTGAAAGGTGAGCCTGCTGACCCCCACCAGGGAGTCCAGACTGCCCTCTGTGGGGGTGGTGCCCACTGTATGCAACCGGAGAGCTAAGGACCAGTGCAGATTGTGGGTTTGGCGCCTGTTCAGTCATACCCAGGGGTAATGAGGAGTGTACAGAACCTAGTTAAATGAAGATTGAGAAATAGAGCTGCAATGATATGATGTCTTAGAATTGCTTCCAAATATCAATAGCATGGGAGCAGGGGGAGTTGGGTATATAAGAAGCAGAGTGGCCATGAGTTGATAATTATAGCAGATGATGGGTACAGGCTCATTGTGCCATTTTCTGCTTTCGATTACATTTGGAATATTCAATAAATGAAAAGTGAATATTGAGCAGAAAATTGGTTCTGCCGGTTTGAATTAAAATATTAAATGAGCCAGTTCTGTAAAATAATTTTCAAAGAGAATCTGTATCCATAATGTTAACTTAAAAATCTTTTGTTTTTTAAACAAATGTAAACCTTTGCAATTACCGTTTCATACAAAGGAGCAGAATATAGTAAAATATTTTTTCTACTGCAGAGGGGGAGAGACTTGATGCCAAAATGAAAAGACTAGAATCAAAGTACGCCCCGCTGCATCTTGTCCCACTGATTGAAAGACTGGGGACCCCTCAGGTAACGTGTACCGTGATGGCTGTGGCTGTTGCAAGCTGGGCATCCATGCCAGGCCAGGTGGCCTGGTTGGGAGCCAGACTGGAAGGCATCGTGAAGTCCAGCGGCTGCGTGGCTGCTCAGGCCTCAAGTGTTGCAAGTGGGGTGTGCACCAGGACTGCTTCCCTGGGTGGTGGGAGGATTCAGATGAGCTAACACCTGGAAAGAGCTTAGCACATCACCTGGCACGTAAGGCTTACACAGAAGACATCACTTTCACTGTCCAGCCCTTCATGAAGAAGGCTTTCCCATAGGTGTTTAAGAACAGAAGAAATTAGGCCAGGAGGCAAGGTGTCAGGGTAGAGTTCTACAGTGATCCAGCTGCTTATGCTAAGTCAGGGTTTCTCAGCCATTTTGGACCAGATAACTCTATGGTGGGGGCTGGGGCGCCCTGTGCATCGTAGGATGGTTAGCAGCATCCCTGGCCTCCACACTAGCTGCCAGTAGACCCGCTCCACCCAAAACATTTTTCCAGGGCCGGGCACCGGGGTTCATTCCTGTCATCCCAGCACTTTGGGAGGCCAAGACAGGAGTTTGAGACCAGCCTGGGCAACATGGCGAAACCCCATCTCTACAAAAAATACAAAAATTATCCGGGTGTGGTGGCATGCACCTGGTCGCTTGAGCCTGGGAAGTCAAGGCTGCAGCGAGCTGTGATTGTGCCACTGCACTCCAGCCTAGGCAGCAGAGCAAGACCCTGTCTCAAGAGAAAAGAGACATAGAGGATGTGGAGTAGCTGGATGCCTGGAGGCCCACGGCATTCCACGGCTTGTCCTTTCTGCAGCAAATTGCCATCGCAAGAGAGGGGGACCTGCTGACAAAGGAGCGCCTCTGCTGCGGCCTGTCCATGTTTGAGGTCATCCTGACACGGATCCGGAGCTTTCTGGATGACCCCATCTGGCGCGGGCCTCTGCCCAGCAATGGGGTCATGCATGTGGACGAGTGTGTGGAGTTTCACAGACTGTGGAGTGCCATGCAGTTTGTCTACTGCATTCCCGTGGGGACACACGAGTTCACAGTCGAGTAAGTGTGTGCTGAGAGCAGGACAAAGCCCCAGAGGAGGGGAGGAGCTGTGGGGGAGGGGAGGCGTGTTAGGCTAACAAGCAGCCAGCCATGCTCAGGAAGTGGACCAGAAACTCACTGAGCGGCTTTTAAGCCTCCTGTAGTGGGGATTCTTACTTGATGCCAAAGAGCTGACTCAGGACTCTAGTATTCAGGGAGTCTCTGAACCCACGGCAATTGTATGCACGTTGGGCGTGCATTTTTCTAGGTGGGAGGTCCATAGAGTCATTCATCACAGAGGGGATATGATCTAAAAAGGGACAGGAAGCAGCACACCAGAAGAGCCCAAAAAAGTTATTTATCAAAACCAGGGAACAGCCACCTGGCTGCCCGGCATTCTCTTCCTGGCTGTGGAAGGTGACTGTGTAGGCACAGACAGTAATGCAGATGGCTTGGTCACTGACATCTGGAGACAGACTGAGAAAAGACTTCATAACGTATCACTCATCTCCCATTCTGTTTCTGCTTCTTGTTCCTAGGCAGTGCTTTGGTGATGGGCTACACTGGGCTGGCTGTATGATCATCGTACTTCTTGGGCAGCAGCGGCGTTTTGCTGTGCTGGATTTCTGCTACCATCTACTTAAAGTCCAGAAACATGATGGCAAAGATGAGATTATTAAAAATGTGGTATGTGGATGAAAATCTCGCACCATCTATGGACCTTTTGCAAAAGCATACTTTCTTTGTGTTATAAGTTCTTGTTTCTGGCAATGTTTTTCATCCTAGTACGTAAGGTGCCACCAACAGAAACTTTCTTTTCGTTCCCAAAATGAATCTAAATATAATTGGCCAGTAAAGCAGTCTGGCAGAGAAAATACTCATTGTTCCGTTTTCCTTCTCAAGGTACTTAGATTTACTTCCAGTCTTACAGGATCTGCATTGTCAGAATATTGGCAACTATAGTCTTCGGGCCCCTGGAAGTCTGTGCTTTCTTGGCTGCTTTAAAGGCCTTTTGTCTTTGTTGCTTTATGGATCCCTCATAGTTGAATTCTGGAAAATACTCAGCCATTATCTTTGAAATATTTCAGCCTCCTTTCCATTCTCCCTATTCTTGCCATTCAGGACTTCAGTTAAACATATGTTAGACCTTCTCATTCTATTCTCCACATCTCTTTGTTGTATCAGTTTTCTTTTTTCTTTCTTTTTTTTTTTTTTTTTGAGACAGTTTCGCTCTTGTTGCTCAGGCTGGGGTGCAATGCCACGATCTTGGCTCACTGCAATCTCTGCTGCCCAGGTTCAAGTGATTCTCCTGCCTCAGCCTCCCGAGTAGCTGGGATTATAGGCACCTGCCACCACGCCCGGCTGATTTTTGTATTTTGTAATTTTGTATTTTTAGTAGAGACTAGGTTTCACCATGTTGGCCAGGCTGATCTTGAACTCCTGACATAAGGTGATCCGCCCACCTCCCAAAGTGCTAGGATTACAGGCGCGCCCAGCCCTGTTGTATTAGTTTTCTATTGCTTCCATGACAACAAATCACCACAGGCTTGGCAGTTTAAATACCACTGATTATCTCACAATTCTCTAAGTCAGATGCCTGAGTTCAGCCAGGCCCAGCTGGGTCCTCTGCTCAGTCTCATGGGGCCAGTGTCTGAGGTGCTGGGTTCACCCTGGAGGCCTTCAAGCTTATGCACAGTTGGCTCAATTATTCCTTGCAGCTGTAGGACTGGGTCCCCCTTCCTTCTCATGCTTTCCAAGTGGCCCCCTCCAGCAATGGTGGGTTGGGCAGTCTCAGCCTCTAGTCTTCTGCCATGTCTCTCCTGCCTCCGGCCAGAGAACATTCCCTGACTGTGACTATATTGAGCCCACTGGACAACCCCAGATACTCTCCCTGTTCTACAGTCCAGTCTTAGCCACACCTGCCCAGGCCCCGTGGAGTGGAGGCAATGCAGTCACAGGCTCCAGGTCATGGGCCTCTCTCAGGGGCCCTTCTGCCTCCCACTCCTCCATTTCCGGGGCTCCCAGAGCTGTGTCCAGATACTGTATTCATGTGTCTTAGTTAACTTGTTTACTTCAGCTCTAATCTGCTGAGCTTTTACTCTGAAAATATTATTAGTTCACTTTTTAAAGTTCAATTAGGTTCTTCAAATCTTCTTGGTAACTGACAGTTTTATTGTCTTAACTGAACTTTTTCCATCTCTTATTTCTTTATCCAATTCATGTATTCTATATTCTGTGTGTTTTCCTTCTAGTATCTGAAGGCCTTGGAGGTATTTAAAACTTTGCTGTTTCCTTGTGTGTTGGGTTATTTGGGAGTCTTTATTTAACTGGAGTTAATTTAGATTGCTTTCCCCCAAGATGTGCATTTGTATCTGCCCATCTCTATGGGGTGCTACCAACTCAGGGCCGCTTTAGCCGAATTGGAGGTCCTGGCTTCACTGGGGAGTCTTCGGTGTGGTCCCGCTTGCTTACGCCCGGGCTGCTCCTCACCCCACCGCCGCTGTTGGCATCTGCCCCTGAGGAGGCCCTGGCTTCCCCCTTACCACCTGCATAGGTAGAACCAGCTTTTCAAAGCGTTTTGTTTGCGTGTATGTTCTTAATTCGTGTTCTTTATTCCTGTGGTAGCAGGAGGGTCTGTCAGAGTATCCCGTCACAGTATTTCCAAACTGGAAGTCTAAAACTTGTGTTAGTTGACTGGCCTTTCTCCACTGACCACATCATCTTCATCTGGAGATCCCCAGCTTTGAGCAGACAGTAGGTTCTTAATTGCCAATGTGGAAGGAATAGGCCTATCAATTGTGCGCATGAATGAATCTACAGCAGCATGAAGCCAACAGAGGGATTCTAAATTCAAAATATATTCATCCTTCCAACTGTTGCATTAAAGAGATGGTATGTGGCTGGGAGTGCTGGCTCATACCTGTAATCCCAACAGTTTGGGAGGCTGAGGCAGAGGAGGATTGCTTGAGCTCAGGAGTTCAAGACCATCCTGGACAGCATAATAAGACCTTGTCTTTACAAAATTAAATTTAAAAATTAGCTGCGTGTGGTGGTACACGCCTGTGGTCCCAGCTACTCAGGAGGCTGAGGTGGGAGGATGTCTTGAGGCTACAGTGAGCCGTGATCATGCCACTGCACTCCAGCCTGGGCGTCAGAGTGAGACCCTATCTTACAAAAAAAAACCCAAAAAGAACAGTATGTGTGTCAATTCCGTTTGCTATTATTTTTCTGAGAAAATATAAGAATCCTGACATTTTGAAACATGAAGAATAAATGTTGAAGTGTTAATAGTAAAACATCCTCACTTTGATGGTTGTAGCCTTTGAAGAAGATGGTGGAGAGAATTCGCAAGTTCCAGATTCTCAATGATGAGATCATCACCATCCTGGATAAGTACCTGAAGTCAGGCGACGGGGAGGGCACGCCAGTGGAGCATGTGCGCTGCTTCCAGCCGCCCATCCACCAGTCCCTCGCCAGCAGCTGAGGGCACGCGCTGCACTCCGTAACTCAACATGGCATGCCTTTCTCTCCGTAAACTATTTAGTGAGATTTTTAGGGACTATTTTTCAGTATCTCTGTACCTGTTAAAGGGGGTGCTTTTCGATCTAAAAACTTAATTTTATAAAATTGACTTATTTTTCTAGACTAAAATTGTATATGCTTTTGGTAATTAGGAACTCTTGAGAATATTGGCTGCTGATTGTTGCCATCACGTTCCTACAAAATTGTTTTTCTATGGGATGTTCTGGCAGCTGTGTCATAAAATGCTGCTGGGTTCATTCATTCATTCCATAAGAAACTTAATACCAGCAAATGCATTAAATCCCTTGCCAGTTACCATTAACTGTAACTATTTAGCTTTTGTTTAGGGATCTTTCTGATGGTCTTTTATGAGCAATCTTAGTTCTAAGTCATTGTTCCCATCCCTTTTTTGTGTGTTTCAGAAAATAGTGAACTTGATTCCCCTGCTTCCACTAAATCCAGTTGTGACAAAATCTAACGTGACATCAGATCGAAAGGTTATAGAAATAAAACTAATGAGATCTATTTGTGTTCATTTATTTACTCTAACCCTGTGCTGCCTGGCTTGGCAAGGAACTCTAACCTGAACTCACATACCAGGCCAGCTGGGATGGAGGTCACCTCTAAGGCTGAGGTGGGATGGGACCGTGACACCATCCCATATACCGCTCACCTCAGCACAGGTTTAGCTTTATATTTAGGGTTCCGCAGGCAAATGAGGTGTAAAACGGCCGTGTTGGCTGCTCCAATCTGGATATGAAGAGGCTACTCAGTGCCTCTCTGTTACCTGTGCCCATGACCTGGAGGAAGCCAGCAATGTGGGAGGAGATCAGTCAGGCCCAGTGGGTGCTGCACAAAGGGACCGGGAGCACCGAGTCCAGCCTTCAGCTGTCCCCGATCCACAGGGCTCACATGGCTGGAGCTGGTTCACATGATCTGTCAGAATGAAAAACAATCGGTCTAGACTACCAGTAGAGTCACGAACATGTTTGAGAAACTAAAGCCATATTTTAAAAAGTACTAAGGCAATGAGGTTCTGAAAATCCTAACTAACTGAATGGAAAAAGATGCTATGCCTGTTTATTGTAGATGAATACTACAGATAAACACAAGTCCAGCATGATTAACTGAACTCACTTTATATTGTAGCCTGGCAGTCATTTTACATTATTTGGAGTATTGCAACCTTCACCAATTTTAAAATTTTCTATGGATGCCAAGTTGCCATAAAAAGCAGGCCTCGCCTACTTTTCCGGAGGCCTTTGGAAACTGTCCAGAAGCATATGATGCACGGCACAGAAAAGTAGTAAGTGTACGAACCATCCTGTTACACTGCCAAACTCACTCAAGTGACATGAAGCCTAACAAACAATTATTCTTTCTTTATAAAAAGTTCCCTAAAAATGCTTTTGGTAATGTGAATTAATAACCCTGGGGCCAGCATTCTGCTGCAGATTTAGAGGTGGTAGCTGTGCTTATCTTAGAAACTACAGAATAGGATGAAAAATTATGGTAAAACTTAATCAATTACCAAGTTTTATAAGGCTTAATTATATACCAAATATGTAATACCTTAGGTATAAGACAATCTCAAGTGCTACAAAATGTTAAATAAGAATTTATTATTTATTAACCTATGCATGTTCAAATGAGTCTCTGTCCTCAAGGGGGAGAAAACTGGTTCTTTTATGTACAAAGCACAGATGTAGGTACAGTATATAAACAGATACGTAGTACATCTGTAGTATTAAAATGGCATGGGAGGAGGCAGTTAGAAAAAACATCTAAAACAGCTCCTTAGAAGGCCAATAATAAAGTTGGAAAAAAGGGAGTTTCCACGCAGCCAGTGGTGAGCTGCATGGGATACCAGCACCATTGGCAGGGGAGGCCCTCGGGGAGTGATGGCTTGGCGCTGGCGCACCACTGGGTAACCTCCAGGCAGGAGCCACAGGCTGGAACAGGCGAACACTTTCTTCCCATCACCTAGGTGGAAATTAATTCTGCCAATACTTTTTTTTAAAGGCCAGTCAATGGTTATGAGTGGATAGGTTCAAAGCTGAATGGAGTTCATTAGACCTTTTTTATTATTCTACCTTTTCTGCATATGTTTGCAGTTTTCCATCGACTTCTTCATAAACAAACATTTTCTAGAAACCAAAATATGTAGTGGCCCAAAGGAGCTCTTAAGCAAAGTACTTGGTACAAAGAGACCATATTCTATAAACATGTTAAGTTTGTTCTAAGCATTCAGACTTTTAGAATAAGAACTTCATTTCAACTTTTTATTATAACATGAGCTAAATTTAAGAAACAACCCTAGTCTTCTATTTCCCAGAGCTGTTCAAAGTCTAAATGACAATATAACTCATTATGAAAATATACTGAAAAGTACAAGAGCTGATGTAAAACGGTAATCAAGGTTCCAGGCATCATGGGATTAGGGTAACTGAAGAATAAACCCAGCCAGGCTGCAACAGCAGGCAGGATGTGCTGGCTTGATGAGGTGCTAAGGCCATCGAATGCTCAGAGGAAGCCGGATTCACGGTGATCATCTCAACCTGAGAAATCGTTCCTTGGGGTGATTTCTGCCCTTTTTTTTGTTTTGTAAGAAAGAGGTTCCTTCATTCAGTAACTTAGTTTTCCCTTAATAAATATTTCAAAAATAAAACCAATCATCATCAAACAAACAGGAGCCACTTTTGTAGGTAAGGTAAATCACAGGATAATGTATTGGGATAACTCTGTTTTTTTAAAATAAAAAAGCCTTACATGGTCAGGGATTGATGGAGTGGGGATGACAAATGCACATTTCAGACTTTCATCACCAATGAAAAAATAAAGCATTTTCATAGACTTAAAACTGTCATTAGTGCATTCGGCTTTTGGAGAAGGGATGAAAATGTAAAATACTTCTACAACAATAAAATGTTAATAGAAATCGTCATGTGCTGAGGTCATTTTAGTGAGCTACCATTGTTTGTTTAAATACAAGAAAAGTAATTTCTTGGTCCAAATTAGTGAAATCTTTAAAAAGATTGCCTTTAAAGAACATTATTTGAGGACAATGTTTTTTCAGACACATTCTGATGATATTCAAATTCACTTCATAACAATCACAGATTAACCTTTAATTACACCTTTCTTAAAAAGCTGTCAGATTTCCATTTCTTCGGGAGACATTTTCACCAGTGTGTTGTTCGATTCCACAGGTTAAGCTTTCTTCATTATTATTAAGAACTTCATACATATTAGAGAGATTGCCATTCATTGCTTTCTCGTCTTTTCGAAAAGACACAGGCAGACTTGCTAGACTAAAGCTGACGTCTTTAAAGGCATGCAACAAGAATATCCCCACAATGATTGTAAAGAAGCCACTCAAAGTACCAATGACATCGTCAACAGGCATATCTTGCCACTCCTTAAAAAGAATAGCTGAACAAGTTAAAACTGATGTTGTAAAGAATACATAATATATTGGAGTCACAATGGAAGTGTTGAATATATCCAGGGCCCTATTTAGGTAATTAATCTGTGTGCTCACACAGACGATGAGGCTCAGCAGCAGAATCCAAGCCAGGGGATGCCGCAGCACAGGCTTCCCTGCAAACAGCTCCTTGATAGCAATGCCCAGGCCCTTCACACAGGAGACTGAAAACGCGCCGATTACAGAGCAGATTGTTATGTACACAAGAATGTTTGTCTGTCCATGGCGAGGACCCACCACGAAGATTAATATCAAGGCCACAATGACCACAAGGGTTGCAAAGACCACAAAACCTGGAGGAGGCAAAGAAAAGTTACATGAGTCAAATGGTTGGTTGTTCTTAAACACAGAATGCAAAACAAAATATAATAAACTTGATAGGGAGAAAAGGTATGGCCTGGAAATAAAAATCAGCTTTATTTTGCAGCCCAAGCAGAAATGCAACCACAAAAATTTACTTAGATGGACACACTGGAAGATTAATGCGAGCTTCATATTCACAAATTGTTATACCCCTAACATTTTTGCAGCAGCACTTTATGCCGACTTAAGTGCTCTAGCTCACCAGGCAAGAGGGACAGTGGGAACAGAACAGACACAGAAACTAGGGAGGAGAAACCATGAGGTGGCCTTGAATGTTCAACAATTTATAGATGCTAAAAAAAACAAAAAACACAAAAACAAGAGTTCTTCATCAAGTTTTCCCTAAAAGGGGAAACTTTTAAAATTTGTGGACAACTGCTGGAGTAACGAGCAAGTCAACTGGAGAACTTGAAAGATACTACTGGGGTTCTGGTTGAATACGGAGAATTAAATCCAGCATGATAATAGCCAACAACTGTGTAGCACTGTGGGCCAGGCATTTTTCTCAGCAATTCGCACTCAACTACCCTGTTATCACGGATACTACCACCTGCATTTTCGGATGAGGAAACTGAGGCCCAGATAAGTCACATGAATTTACTCTTCCTTCCTCAAATTCCACTAATAAAATACACAGTAATAGGATTTTTTTTTTTTGAGACAGAGTCTTGCTCTGTCGCCCAGGCTGGAGTGCAGTGGTGCGATCTCGGCTCACTGCAAGCTCCGCCTCCCGGGTTCACGCCATTCTCCTGCCTCAGCCTCCTGAGTAGCTGGGACTACAGGTGCCCGCCAACACGCCCAGCTAATTTTTTGTATTCTTAGTAGAGACGGGGTTTCACCATGTTAGTCAGGATGGTCTCCATCTCCTGACCTCGTGATCCACCCGCTCTGGCCTCCCAAAGTGCTGGGATTACAGGCGTGAGCCACCGCACCCAGCAGTAATAGATTATTAAAGACACAAATACACAAAATTAAGAACAAGAAGCCAGGTGTGGTGGCTCACGCCTGTAATCCCAGCACTGGGAGGCCGAGGATGGCAGATCACCTGAGGTCAGGAGTTCGAGACCAGCCTAGCCAACATGGTGAAACCTCATCTCTTCTAAAAATACAAAAATTAGCCAGGCGTGGTGGCAGACACCTGTAATGCCAGCTACTTGGGAGGCTGAAACAGGAGAATCGCTTGAATCTGGGAGGTGGAGGTTGCAATGAGCTGAGATCATGCCACTGCACTCCAGCCTGGGCAATAGAGTGAGACTGTCTCAAGAAAAAAGAGAGGACCGAAGATAACAATCCTTCGTAAGTCAGAAAGCAAAGGCTAACTAATAACTGGTACAGAGATCCAAGAAAGCGGAATCCTACACATCCGCTGTGATAAAAGATGAAAAAGCAATTTAGTTTGTGGCACAGAATGCTCAAAAGATACAAAGTGCCTCTGAAGTGGAGTAAAGGCAAGATTGAAAGTGAGGCCTGGCTGAAAAGTCCATTCAAGAAACAAGGAGACTCCTGCCCAGTTCTGGGAGACTGTCCCTCCCGTGCCACAGAGTTCCAGGAAGCTGAGGTCAACCATGCCTCCAGGCATTAATCCTTCCCCCCAGTCAATTCCCAGGATGCCCACAGCCAGCCATGAAACTGGAAGCTTTTTTTGCTGGGGATCTGACCAGCCCAACTTTTACATAACAGAGGACAGCAGGCCGGGCGTGGTGGCTCACGCCTGTAATCCCAGCACTTTGGGCGGCCGAGGTGGGCGGATCATGAGGTCAGAAGATCGAGACCATCCTGGCTAACATGGTGAAACCCCGTCTCTACTAAAAATACAAAAAATTAGCCAGGCCTGGTGGTGGGTGCCTGTAGTCCCAGCTACTCGGGAGGCTGAGGCAGGAGAATGGCGTGAACCCGGGAGGGGAGCTTGCAGTGAGCCAAGATCACGCCACTGCACTCCAGCCTGGGCAACAGAGCAAGACTCTGTCTCAAAAAAATAAAAAGAAAGATAGCCAAAGACCACCAGGAGAGAAGCCAAAACAAACAGAAAAGTGCAAAGCCTCTTTCTCCCATGTAGACAGAGGAAAACTTCAAAATAAACAACTGTCCCTCAAAAAACAAAAAAATTACTAATATCCTCAGAAAAGCAAGAAAAACTATTATTAATATCCTCAGAGACACAATGAAACAGACTGACCTGGCACCCCAAATACCTACAAACGATGGATCTACAACAACAAAAAACCCCAAACAAATAAAAAAGAAACATTTATTTGAGGGCATCAAAGAGCCATCAAAGTAGCCAGGACTTAAAGGGCCAAAATCCAGAGAAAAGAGAAGAATCAGCCCAACACTCACCTCTGCCTTCTCCCTTGGGGCAACTACTAATGCAAGGGGTGAGATGGCATAAAGGCCAATCAACACCGGCCTAAGCTTAAGGGGACTAGGTAAAAACAAGTTGGAATTTGGGGCTGCCTAAGCAGCTGGAACTGAATGGAACAAGACCCAGAAAGGAGGGAACTATAGAGTAGTGAGCCCAAATTTCTGTGTGCATTTCCCCTTACGGTGTTTCTTGGCACACAAGCTGCACAGCCAAGGTCAGAGGAGCCAAATGGAAAGCCCGGCCAGGAGGCCACAGGACTAAGCAGGGATTTTAGTGTCTCAAGTTACTGAGGAGCAGATCCTGGAGCTCTCAGTTTCTCAGGTGGAGGGGCCCAAACCAACATCTGAAGCTATCAGTTGAGAGCCAAAGGGCTATGAATAAGAATAAAGGCAAACTGAGCCAGGTGTGGTGGCTCATGCCTGTAATCCCAGCCCTTTGGGAGGCCGAGGGAGGTGGATCACTTGAGCCCAGTAGGTTGAGACCAGCCCAGCCAACATGACAAAACCCTGTCTCTACCAAAAAAAGATACAAAAATTAGGCCAGGCACAGTGGCGCATGCCTGTCATCGCAACTACTTGGGAGGCTAAAGCAGGAGAATCACTTGAACCCAGGAGGCAGAGGGAGCAATGAGCCGAGACTGCACCACTGTGCTCCAGCCTGGGTGACGGCGAGACTCCATCTCAAAAAAAAAAAAACAAAGAAAATACAAAAATTAGCCAGATGTGGTGGCACACACCTGTAGTCCCAGCTACACAGGAGGCTGAGGTGGGAGGATCGCTTGAGCCCGAGAGGCAGAGGATGCAGTGAGCCATGATCACACCACTGCACTCCAGCCTGGGCAACAGAGTGAGATACTGTCTCCAAAAAAAAAAAAAAAAAAAAGAATAAAGGCAAACTGAAAGAAACTAGGCCCAACAAAGCTTAAAACAATACCTTCAGGGTGAAGGTGAGCTACTGTATTCTTTTCTGCCTACCAGAAGAAATTTACATTCTCTCTGAAGGAAGAAAAAACATCACTTAAAACCTCTACACCTTCTAATATCCTACATCCAGCATTCAATTAAAAAATGCCTAAAAGCCAAAAGAGAAACACCACCACAGGAGGCCCACAAAGAATTCTAAAACTAAAGTTAGCAGACAAAGACTTTAAAATAACTAGGAATCAAAGAACAGAGGCAAGAAACTCTTAGAAATTAACAATATAACCGCAGAAATAAAAACTCAGAAGGGCTGGAAGAAAAAACAGAAAATCTCCCCAAAGGCAGAGCAAAAAGACAAAATGGTAAAATGAGGGAAAGAAAAGATAAGAAAATTAATGATCTAGGTCAGGAACTGCAATAAACAGATGAATAAGAATCTCACAAAGAGCAAACAAGAATATCAAAGGAGTATTCAATTCAGTTCCCAAGAGTCAGACATAAATTTTCAGATCAGGCCAGGCACAGTAGCTCACACCTGTAATCCCAGCACTTTGGGAGGCCGAGGCAGGTGGATCACCTGAGGTCAGGAATTCGAGACCAGCCTGGCCAACCTGGTGAAACCCTGTCTCTACTAAAAATACAAAAATTAGCTGGGCGTGGTGGTGGGCGCCTGTAATCCCAGCTACTTGGGAGGCTGAGGCAGGAGAATAACTTGAACCCAAGAGGCGGAGGATGCAGTGAGCCGAGATCACGCCATTGCACTCCAGCCTGAGCAAGAAGAACAAAACTCTGTCTCAAAAAAAAAAAAAAAGAGAGACCCATCAGGCGAGGCATGGTGGCTCACACCTGTAATCCCAACACTTTGGGAGGCAAGGTGGGTGGATCACTTGTGATCAGGAGTTCGACACCAACCTGGCCAACATGGTAAAACCTTGTTTCTACCAAACAAACAAAAAAAATTAGCCAGGCATGGTGGCACACGCCTGCAGTCCCAGCTACTTGGAAGGCTGAGATGGGAGAATCGCTTGGGCTGGGGAGGAGGAGGTTGCAGTGAGCTGAGATCACATCACTGCATTCCAGCCTGGGCAACACGGCCCTGTCTCAAAATAAAATGAACCATCAGGCACCCAGCACAATGGACAAAAATGGACCCATCTCTAGGCATGTCAGTGGGAAATTTCAGACACTGTGGGGAAAGAGAACATCCTACATGCTTCCAAAAACAAAAAATTGGTCGCATATAAAAGATAAGGGATAAACTGTTCAATTTCTCAACAGCAACATCAGAAATGAGAAGACGGTGGTCACAATAGGTTAAAAACATTTTGAGATAAACAAGGTCTCAAAAAATCTCATCTCTTCATGCCCTTTCTTGTCTCCTCTAGAGTGACACCACCAAAATGAAGGCACAAACCCAGGATTCTGGAAATAAGGGATCCAAGAAAAAGCAAACTGAAGGGAATCCCCAGGATGCTGCTGAAGAGAAATGCAGATAACAGCTGTGCTGGCAGCCTGGAGACACCCGCCTAGATTGAGGCCACACAGAAGGCACTGAGAGAAATTTCCAAAAGAGATGAAACAAAGAATACCTCTTTGTTTGAAATTACTGAGAGTAGAATTAGTCAACTGGGGAAGAGTTTCATGATACATTGATCGATTCATAAAAAACTACACAAACAAGATAATTATTACTTCTGGAAAAACAAATTATACAGGGAAGGAACAACAACCATAATAAAGACTAAGATGACAATAAAAGTTATGTATCAATGATAATGTAAACAATCTCAAGAAAACTATATAGGTACAGTAAATAAAAGGTAAAACAGATAATGCCTAAAGCTAAGGAAGTAAGTAGTAGCAATATACGCACACTACTTACAAACACAGAGTTAAAGAACAGTAGAAACACAGGCTTGGGATTGATAGGAGGGAGCAGGGAACATGACGACAATTTGTTCTTCTACCAGGTGGAACAATTTCTTTCCTTATGTGCTCATCAAATTTCGATTAAAGTAAAAACTAAGTTAAAAAGTAAAATACAGTAAGACTAATAAGACTTTTTTCTTACCTGGATCACCTAGCTTGTGAGACATTTCATTTAAAGTCTCAATCTCCTCTTCCTTTGGAGCATGAATGACCATAACTGTAGATCCTAGAATACTTAGCAAACACCCAATTTTCCCATGAAGATTAAGTCTTTCATTGAGAAAGTATGAAGAAAGAATGGCACTAAAATGGGGAGGAAAAAAAATTGAGAACTTTAATCAGCTACTTTCCTTTTTCAAATATCAATAAAACTCGTAATTTAAATCACTGAAATCAAACTAAAACACTGTGAACTTATGAAGATTCTGGCTTTCGCCAAGGAAAAAAAGTATACATTTCATCATAAAATGTAAACATTTCTAGGGAATCATCTGCTTCATCATACACTACACCTGTATACTTACCATCTTTCCACTGCAAGAAGTCAGTATGAAATTTATAATAAAGAACAAATTTGTATACATTTATATCCTAATTAAGAACCTATATCCAGGCCAGGCAGAGTGCCTCACGCCTGTAATCCCAGCACTTTGGGAGGCCAAGGTGCGCGGGTCACCTCAGGTCAGGAGTTCAAGCCCAGCCTGGCCAACATGGTGAAACCCCATCTCTACTAAAAATACAAAAATCAGTCAGGCATGGTGGCGGGCATCCTGTAATCCCAGCTACTCGGGAGGCTGGGGCAGGACCTAGAAGGCAGAGGTTGCAGCGAGCTGACATCGCGCCACTGCACTCCAGCCTGGGTGACACAGTGAAACTCCATCTCCAAAGGAAAAAAAAAAAAAAAAGAATCTCTATCCAAACCACCAGTGCTTAAAATTTACTCAACTTATTCCTATTGGTTGATGCATGCACCCCTCTTATGTTGTTAATTGTATATAATTTGCCTATTACATTATCAGGTTTTAATAACTTGTAGCTAGTTTTATCTAGACCTAAAAAGAAAATACAGCATAAACCAATAAATACAGTAACAAAATACTACAAAGAAAATTAAGGGTAAAGGGCAATGACTTATACCATAACCCTGTTTTACATATAGTTTTTTGGGGAAAAAAAAACAGATAAAAATCAGTCAATCTACTTTGGGAATAGTAACCAAGATCCAGACATCAATATGGGCTTAGTTGTTTGGGCTAATCATTACAAAGCAGAAATGGGACAAATCTCAGATCACTCATTCAAAACAAGCACTCCAGGCCAGGCATGCAAATCTACTCATTGGCCGGGCACAGTGGCTCACGCCTGTAATCCCAACACTTTGGGAGGCCAAGGCGGGTGGATCACGAGGTCAGGACATCGAGACCATCCTGGCTAACATGGTGAAACCACATCTCTACTAAAAATACAAAACATTAGCCAGGTGTGGTGGCGGGTGCCTGTAGTCCCAGCTACTCGGGAGGCTGTGGCAGGAGAATGGTGTGAACCCGGGAGGTGGAGCTTGCAGGGAGCCGAGATCGTGCCACTGCACTCCAGCGTGGGCGACAGAGCAAGACTCCGCCTCAAAAAAAAAAAAAAAAAAAAGAAAAAGAAATCTACTCATTACCAACCAGACCCTACCAAAGTGCACATGCACTGAATGATAAATACTGGGATGAGTGTAACTTTGAATTTTACTTATTTTTTATTTATTTATTTTTTGAGACAGAGTCTCGCTCTATAGCCCAGGGTGGAGTGCAGTGGTGCTATCTCGGGTCATTGCAACCTCCTCTTCCTGCGTTCAAGCCATTCTCCTGTCTCAGCCTCCTGAGTAGCTGGGACTACAGGTGCCCGCCACCACGCCCAGCTAATTTTTGTATTTTTAGTAGAGACAGGGTTTTACCATGTTAGGCTGGTCTCAAACTTCTGACCTCAGGTGATCCACCCGTCTTGGCCTCCCAAAATGCTGGGATTACAGGCATGAGCCACTGTTCCCAGCCAACTTTGAATATTAAAAAACTGAAATCGAAGTAGAACTAGTACTGGCTCTGAATACAAGCAAGACAAAGCATTTTCTCCCACAAATCAATAGCCTGCCTATGCACAGAAGTAACTTTTTAAAAGCAATTACTACGTAGTGTAAAAAGCGAAGTTCTCCAGGTTGTTGAAATGTAAATTGTGTTGAACATATTTAATTAGATGGTACTGAATATTTTAGAAACTAAGATACCGACTACTGTTTCTACATGAAAAACGTGTCCTTACCTTACTAGCACGCTGAGAGCTCCTAGTGGAGTCACTAGAGTGGCTGGTGCAAACGCATACGCAGCGAAGTTGGCCACCTCACCAGCTCCCACTTAGAGACAGACAACAAAAGAAAAACTCAGGTAAGAATGTATGTACTCAACTTGGAAATGCCGGCATTTTATGCACTATCTATATATTATTTCAACTGTATTTAGTAACCTCCATATTTTTCCAATTTATTATTTTTATTTTTTTGAGACGGAGTCTCACTCTGTCGCCCAGGCTGCAGTGCAGTGGTGTGATCTCAACTCACTGCGAGCTCCGCCTCCCGGGTTCACGCCATTCTCCTGCCTCAGCCTCCCAAGTAGCTGGGACCGCAGGCACTCGCCACTATGCCCAGCTAATTTTTTTGTATTTTTAGTAGAGACGGAGTTTCACCGTGTTAGCCAGGATGGTCTTGATCTCCTGACCTCGTGATCTGCCCGCCTCGGCCTCCCAAAGTGCTGGGATTACAGGCGTGAGCCACTGCGCCCAGCCTCTCCAATTTATTAATAAGGGTTATGGGTCTGTAAATTTCTATTACAGTAAGAGTCCAAGTCAATTAGAAACATTCTAGAAACAACACATATCTGTAAATCTAACGGAAGAAATCTAGCTCATGCTGACATAAGGCATTTTAATAAAAATTTTAAATAGATACTTATATCCCAGGACAGTAAATAAAAATCACTGAGAAGAAGCCGACATGAAGGTAAAGGTACTCTTCCCCCAAGTCCTTTTCATTTGGTCCTTTTTTTTTTTTTTTTTTTTTTGAGATGGAGTCTTGCTCTATCGCCCAGGCTGGAATGCAGTGGCACGATCTCAGCTCACTGCAACCTCCACCTCCCGGGTTCAAGCAATTCTCCTGCCTCGGCCTCCCGAGTAGCTGGGACTACAGGCGGGCGCCACCATGCCCAGGTAATTTTTATATTTTTAGTAGAGACGGGGTTTCACCATGTTGACCAGGCTGGTCTTGAACTCCTGACCTCAAATGATCCACCCACCTCAGCCTCCCAAAGTGCTGGGATTATAGGCGTGAGCCACCGTGCCCAGCTTGCTCTTTTTAAAAATGCAAATCATGCTATACACCAGGTCCTGTTCTAGAATCAGGATATACAGCAGGGTGCAAAACAAAGACATTGCTCTGATAAAACTTTTTTTTTTTTTTTGAGACAGAGTCTCGCTCTGTCGCCCAGTCTGCACTGCAATGGCGTGCGTGATCTTGGCTCACTACAACCTCCACCTCCCAAGTTAAAGCGATTCTCCTGCCTCAGCCTCCCAAGTAGCTGGGATTACAGGCCCACATACCCGCCACCACACCCGGCTGATTTTTGTATTTTTAGTAGAGACAGGGTTTCACCATGTTGGTCAGGCTGGTCTTGAACTCCTGACCTAAGGTGATCCACCCGCCTCAGCCTCCCAAAGTGCTGGGATTACAGGCGTGAGCCACCACGCCCAGCCTCTCATAAAACTTTTAGTGAGGGAAGACAGACAAACCAAGCACATGTGCCAAGAGGTTAAAAGTGTTATGAAGAAAAACAGTGAGGGAAAAGAATAAAGTGCTGGTGATGAAAGAAGGTATCCTACTATGTGTCATGGCATTAGATATGGGCTGTCAGATAAGAAATTTTAGAACACTGGGAAATTAAGTCCCACTAAGGAATTATCTAAATTGAAAAGCTACTGAGGAATCCTACACAGGGCAGAGGCATGATCTCACAAAAGGATCCCTCTTGGCTACTGCTTTTTCCAAAAGTTATGCCAATTTTCATTTAGCAGCGTATGAGAGCTCCCTTTGCTCCACATTCTCCCTGCTGATCTTTGTTAGGAGTATGGGATGATTCTGTTATGCCTTCAATTTGCATTTCCCATTTTCATTTGTTTATTAACCCTATGAAATCTTTTAGGGAAGTAGCTGTTAAAGTTTATCCTGTTTTCTCTAATTGATTTAAGGTAATTCTTTATATATTTCAGATGTAAATCTTTTATTGGTTAAACATATTACAATTATCTTCATTTACACTCTACAATTTGCCTTTTTCTTCTCTTGTTAAACTCTTTCTTCTTTAATTCCCAAAATGTCTTTTAAATATGGTTACTGTTAAAATTCAATCAAGGAATTTGGCTGCAATGTCTCAAATATCTTTTTATCCAGGATACTCTCTACTATCTAATTTCCATTTATGTATGACTGACTTCTCAAAAAGAAAAAAAAAAAGCTTGGAGAAAGCTTTTTAACTAATTAGGAAATTATACACAATCTTCTATTTTTTTTAACTGAATACTCTAGAAATTACGTGTATGCTTAACCTGTGAAGTCTAATATTAATATTTAGCTTTATTTCCTTCTGGATAATGCCAGAACCTTAGAACTCTTCATCCATTTTTTCCCTTCCAACTGACTATTGTTGTGTATTTTTTAATACACAACAGGTGAGCCAAGGTAGCTCACTCACAGGACTGGCAAGTAGGTCCTGGCACAGTGAGAGCCTGGGGAGCTCTCCATGGCTGCCTGAGTGTCCTCAGAGCACAGCAGCTGGCTTCTCTCAAAGTGAGCAATCCAAGGAATCAGGAAAAAGCTGCAATGCCTCTCTCTGCTTCACCTCGGAAGACACACATCATCACTTCTGTGGTATTCTTGGATCACACCGTTTTGAACTGCACTAATTCACTGTGAAAGGGGATTAGAGAAAGGTGTGAATACCAGGAGGGGAGTCACTGAGGGCTATGTATCACACGTTAATTGGCCTGGCATGCTCCCCACTCGTGGCCTTCACAGTTACAGTTTCCTCCTGCTTCAAGGGTTTCTCCCCCAAATATCATATGGGCAGATCACTCGCTTCCTTTACATCTTCTACCCAAATACCTTTCAGCGAGGCTGGCCCTGGCTGCAGATCTAACATCCTAATAAACCTATCTATCCTCCATTTCACAACACTCCTTCCGACTTCACTCCTTCTCCTTCCCATTTATCATCACGCACAGGCACATAAACACATAACTTCTTTATCTTGTTTAATGTCTCCCACCTAGAATGTAAGCTTCATGTGGGTGGAGATTTTTCAGTCTTTTCCTCTCACTGATGTATCTCCAGCACCTAGAACAATGCCTGGCATACAAGACATGATCAATAAGTATTTGTTGACTGAACAGTCAGTCAAGGCTCAGTGTCTTCAGAATATTTTTTTTTTTTTGAGACAGTTTCACTCTTGTTGCCCAGGCTGGAGTGCAACGGCACAATCTCAGCTCACTGTAACCTCTGCCTTTCAGGTCCAAGCGATTCTCCTGCCTCAGCCTCCCGAGTAGCTGGGATTACAGGCATGCACCACCATGCCCAGCTAATTCTTTTGTTTTTTTTTTTACTAGAGACGAGGTTTCTCCATGTTGGTCAGGCTGGTCTCACTCCTGACCTCAGGTGATCCACCCACCTCGGGCTCCCAAAGTGCTGGGATTACAGGCATGAGCCACCACGCCCGGCCCAGAATAATTTTTTTCCACGTGCCTTTTTAAAAGTTATTACCAAAATAGGCATGGTGATTTTTTGTATTTTTATTTGGTAAGTCTTATCAAATACATACCTCTTTTTAATTTGGAATGAGAACAAATGGAGGGGCAACAAATTAAAACAGAATTCTCCTCTTAACTTTCAAAATTACCTTAAATTGAGCAGAAATTTTAAAAATGCACAGGCCTATCAAACATGTTTTAATCAGATGGGTAAAAAAAAGCCTTGTCGTTCCATTTAAATGCACTATGAGGGTACGACAAATAGAAAGACTTGAATACCTGGTGAATAACATCAAGTATTTGATAGCACAACAGGGTGACTACAGTCAATAATAATTTTTTTTGTTTTGTTTTTTGAGACTGAGTCTCACTCTATCACCCAGGCTGGAGTGCAGTGGTGCAGTTATCAGCTCACTGCAACCTCCACCTCCCAGTTTCAAGCGATTCTCGGGCCTCAGCCTCCCGAGTAGCTGTGATTACAGGCGCCTGCCACCACGCCCGGCTAATTTTTGCTATTTTTAGTAGAGACGGGGTTTCACCATGTTGGCCAGGCTGGTCTTGAACTCTTGACCTCAAGTGATCCACCCGCCTTGGCCTCCCAAAGTGCTGGGATTACAGGTGTGAGCCACCGCGCCCGGCCCAATAATAATTTAATTGTACATTTAAAAATAACTAAGAGGCCAGGCACGGTGGCTCACACCTGTAATCCCAGCACTTTGGGAGGCTGAGGCAGACAGATCACAAGGTCAGGAGATCGAGACCATCCTGGGCAACATGGTGAAACCCCTTCCCTACTAAAAATACAAAAATTAGCTGGGCTTGGTGGCGCACACCTGTAGTCCAGCTACTCAGGAGGATGAGGCAGGAGAATCGCTTGAACCCAGGAGGCAGAGGTTGCAGTGAGCCAAGATGGTGCCACTACACTCCAGCCTGGCAACAGAGCAAGACTGTGTCTCAAAAAATAAATAAATAAGTAACGGCTGGGCATGGTGGCTCACGCCTGTAATCCCAGCACTTTGGGAGGCCAAGGTGGGCGGATCACGAGGTCAAGAGATCGAGACCAGCCTGGCCAACGTGTGAATCCCTGTCTCTACTAAAAATACAAAAATTAGCTGGGCATAGTGGTGCGCACCAGTAGTCTCAGCTACTCAGGAGGATGAGGCAGGATAATCGCTTGAACCCGGGAGGCGAAGGCTGCAGTGAGCCGAGATGGGCCACTGCATTACAGCCTGGCGACAGAGCAAGATTCCATCTCAAAAACAAAAAAAAGGACTAACTGGATTGTTTGTCCTGCAAAGGATAAATTGTTGAGGGGATGGATAACCCATGGATACCATAATGCAATTATTATGAATTGCATGCCTTTATTAAAGTATCTCATGTACCCTATAAGTACCTACTAAGTACTCACAAAAATGAAAAAAGTAGGCCGGGTGCGGTGGCTCACGCCTGTAATCCCAGCACTTTGCGAGGGCAAGGCAGGTGAATCACCTGAGGTCAGGAGTTTGAGACCAGCCTGACCAACACAGTGAAACCCCGTCTCTACTAAAAATACAAAAAATTAGCTGGGCGTGGTGGTGGCACGCCTGTAATCCCAACTACTTGGGAGGCTGAGGCAGGAGAATCGCTTGAATCCAGGAGGTGGAGGTTGCACTGAGCCAAGATCACGCCACTGCACTCCAGCCTGGGTGACAGAGTGAGACTCTGTCTCAAAAAAAAAAAAAAAAAGATTATTTAAACCTTTAAAACTTGCTAGTAATGAGGCTATAATACCATATGCAAATATTTTAATATATAGCTATCATATTTTTCTTGCAATGTTCTTTATACATACTTGACAGCAGTCCAGCCCACCACAACCATTCCTTAAGATATGCATGGCCACCTTGACCTGTGAATGAAGAAATATTTCACATCTTTGGAAGACTGTAAGACTCTTGTATAAATTATAACTATTAGTAATGACAGATTTTTAAATATCTCAGTTACTCCTTTAAATAAAGGTTTCTGCATGACTCGGGATTTCTCTGACAATTTCTTAATGATTATCTTGCCAAGGTGAATGAATCCTTTACAAGCATACCCGTCATGAACAGTGAGAGCACCTCTTAGGACCAAGCATCAGGGACTAGGGGAACAAGCAGTAGATGCTGACAGTTTCTCCTCTGTCCACTGAACCCCATAGAGGCTATCATTTCATGTTTTTCTGACTGCTGAATTAGGTTTAGCCACAGAGATGGCACAGGGAAGACAGAAGGGTGGTACTGTTTCCTGCCAAGGCAGCTCTCCTCATAAGGTCCAATCAGGTCTAAAAATGAAGCCAGGATAGAATGATGGAATGTGACCATAACGCCACTTAACACCGGGAGCTACCACGAGTGTCCCTGATAGAGGAGTCAGGGCAGGGCCAATCATCCTGATTACCCCGCAGGGTCTTGTGACTTGTCAGTGATTTCTAGAGAAACAACCTACACCAGCCGAAGTTCACTAAACTGGATACTCTTCAAGCTGGGGAAGCCCAGTCTTTCCTTCCTGCCAAAATGTCGAAGTTCAAAGTCAGAACGTCTACTATCATGGACAAAAGATCCCAGCCTTTAATAAATTCTGATTTTAACCATGGCTTTTTTTTTTTTTTAGACGGAGTCTCACTCTGTCACCCAGGCTGGAGTGCAGTGGTGCCATTTTGGCTCACTGCAGAGGTTTCTGCCTCCCGGGTTCAAGCGATTCTGCTGCCTCATCCTCCTGAGTAGCTGGGACTATAGGCCAGGCCACCATGCCCGGCTAATTTTTGTATTTTCAGTAGAGATGGGGTTTCACCATGTTTGCCAGGCTGGTCTCGAACTCCTGACCTCAGGTGATCCACCCGCCTCAGCCTCCCAAAGTGCTGGGATTACAGGCATGAGCCACCACGCCCAGCCTAACCATGGACTCTTATTTCCTTCCCTGCAGACATATCAAAATTTAAAGAAAAGGTTGGATATTACTTGGGCATTGGTCCCTGTTTCCATTTTGATGATAACTGCAGGACTGAGTAGTTAACTAATTATGACATCTTCTCACTTCTTTTCTCAATATAAATAACCAAACATCAACTTTGTAAACATTTAGAACTCTTGAACAATTCAAAGTTTCAAATACACTCACGAGGAATGAAGATGTGGTCTTGTACAAAGAACCTGTGCATGTAGGTAGACACTGAGGTCACTTCAAAGTCACATAAGGCATAACCTACCTGCTCTCATAGAGCCTTTCCTGGCAAGTCGAAGGAGGCCCTTTTTTTTCAAAATGAAACTTCCTCCAATGAAAATGCTGGAGCTCATAGCCAATCCCAGACCAATATAGAAGTCATATTTTCCACGCCCCTGGCTCATTTCGTTTGTTACTTAAGGAGTTCCTGTGAATCACATTGATCACAGAACAGAGAAACCGCTGGTACTAGAGGCAGAATGAAGCAGTCTTCAAACCTAAACAATAAAAAATGAAATGTGGTTTTCACAGAATGCTCATGACAGCTCACATGCAATTCAAAATTTTACTCCATTTCTCTTCCCCTAAAGAAAAAATAGCTCCTTCATTACTAATATTGATAATATTTATTATTTAAATTTAGCACCAACCTGTATATTTCTTCAAATTATGGCAAAAGATAGGATCATGCTATAAAACCAAGTTTAAACTGATTTCATAAACTCTGATCCCATATTTTAAAAAAAAATGTTTCTAGCCTTAATAAAACTTTCTGATAAGAAAAAAAAATTCTGCAGAAAAAATTAGGCATAATATACAAATCTAGTTTGGAAATACATTTATCAGGTTCTCAAATGTGTCCTTTTGAATAATCTATACAAAGAAACTCAAAATTTTCTCACCCATACATTTTCTTCTTAGCAATAGGTGCACATAAGCATATGCTAATTT
The DNA here is from genome assembly GCF_000001405.40 of Homo sapiens. Lineage (NCBI taxonomy): Eukaryota > Metazoa > Chordata > Mammalia > Primates > Hominidae > Homo > Homo sapiens. Next base: position 22,851,184 of record NC_000015.10, on the reverse strand, counting down.
ATTTATTTAGCCTATTCAGGGATGTGCTGAGAGAAGGCAGATTTCACATTATTTATCAGAGGGTAACAATTCTTGCAGAGAGGTGTCTGCTGGGGCGTGCAGTATGGTACCGGTGGCCTTTGGAGAACATGAGGACCATGGTATCTGGAGGGCTCAATCCTCGAGGCCAGACAGGAAGCAGAGGCTTACCAAGACTGCAATTGTTTTTCCAAATGGCCAACTCATAAACTCAGTTGACAGATGAACTAAAGCACAGTGTGGATAGCAGAGAAAAAATAGTTTTTAGCAACAAGGTTTATGATTGGTTCTAACTGCCAGATCAGCTTTCTAGCACATCTTGGGATTTTTAGTCCCACAATTTAACTTCGGAGTTCCAAAACTAATCTGCAATTCAGTCAGGACCCTAACTAGCCATGTTTTTCCGTTCTTCAAGTTATGAGACACTGGCTTTTAACCAAAGCAACTTAAACTCCCTGTCCACCTAGCCCCTCAATTACTTTATCCATCCATTCAAACAGTATTTACTGGATATTATGTGCTAAGCGTTTATTATGCTAAGCTCTCTAGCTTCACAAGGAAGACAGACAAGAGATAGTTAAATAAGGAGTGATAACATTACTGCAGGGAGACTGCAATAATGGTAAACACGACATTATCACACTGAGTTGATATTACTCCCAAGAAATGAAAAAGTCCAATGTTTTTGATTTGCCCATTAAGGTGCATTATCGTTCCTGTATGATTCAATGAGAAGACTATTCTCCCTCACCCCTGATTTGCCGCTTGGCCATCAAGCTTGCTTTGGCCAATGGGAGGGAGGTGTAAGGAACAGAGTGCCAGTTCTGAGTCTACACCTAGAGGCCTCTCTTACTTCTGCTTGCCCCTTCGCACCCTGCCATAGCCACAGGAAGTGCATGTCCTGATCACAACAGAGTGAAGGGTACAGAACAAAATCGTCCCAGTGACTCACAGAACTGTGAGCATGATCTAAGTGCTCATTCCTCTATGCCACTGAGATAGCTAACTCACACACACAAACAGGCTTACTGCAAGTATGAAGTTTCCACCCTGATTTTTGAAAAACCAAAAATTTTCTGTAGAAAATGGGGATTCAGTGATGGGTAAAAGCTGGGTGATGGGTACACAGGGACTCATTGTATTACTATATCTGCTTTTGTGTATTTCTGAACATTTCCATATTAACGTTTTTAAAATACAACCTTTAGTGCTCAAAAGGTACAAGGATGCCAAGGTAGAAACCACCAGCAAGTCCCAAAAGCCAGGTCACCCCACAACCTAAGACAAAATAATACTGAAACACTGGGTCGGGCGCGGTGGCTCACACATGTAATCCCAGCACTTTGGGAGGCTGAGGCTGGTGGATCACAAGGTCAGGAGATCGAGTCATCCTGGCTAACACGGTGAAACCCCATCTCTACTAAAAATACAAAAACAAAATTAGCCGGAAGTGGTGGCAGGCGCCTGTAGTTCCAGCTACTTGGGAGGCTGAGGCGGGAGAATGGCATGAACCTGGGACGGGGAGCTTGCAGTGAGCCGAGATCGCGCCACTGCACTCCAGCCTGGGCGACAGAGCGAGACTCTATCTCAAAAAAAAAAAAAATACTGAAACATTGAAAGAAAACACTCAAGTCAAAAAGGTGCTGAGTTCTTCTAAGTATCAGTCATAATCTCATGGATGAGACTGTCTACCCGAAAGCCTTCCAGAACTGACCTCTCCCTTAACAGATTTGGAAAAGTACCCCTAGTCCCTCTGTGCCATTCATAAGGCAAGATTCCATGAGAAAAGTCTTAGGTGGGGAGTTTGGAGACCCCGTCTTGCTTCCAGCTGGAGGTGTGATCTTGGATGAGTCACCACATTAACAGATATATACATAAAAAGAAAGAAGCTGAACAATCTAAGGTATTACCCACTTTATGTGCCAAATACTGGTCATCTCAAGCCTCAAGTTAACTTCAGCATATCTATGGAATAATTCTAGATAGGTGAGTCTCATTGACAGTAAAAATAAATTACAGAGATGTAAACACATTTAAAGACAAGGTAGGAGAACTTGAAACAAGATGTCAGGGACAATCATCATTTCTACACGCTGTAAGATTGCAACAAAAAGCAGGTGTGCTTACACTGTTCCCACTGCATCCTGCATGGCTTGTTGATCTGTGTTTATCAGCCAGTCTCCTGCATCAGACTGTAAGCTCCTGGGCTCCTGCATGATATTCGCCCTTTTAGCCTATGCACATAGCTATCTGGTAGTCTCAAAATAGGTCTTAATGTGTGTTTTCTGGGTGAATATGGATGAATGGAGTAATTCTTTTTTTTTTTTTTTTTTTTTTTTTTGAGACAAGAGTCTTGCTCTGTCACCCAGGCTAGAGTGCAGTAGCATGATCTCGGCTCACTGCAACCTCTACTGCCCAGGTTCAAGTGATTCTCCTGCCTCAGCCTCTGAGTAGCTGGGACTACAGGCACATGCTGCCATGCCCAGCTAGTTTTTGTATTTTTAGTAGAGATGGAGTTTCACTATGTTGGCCAGGCTGGTCTGGAACTCCTGACCTCGAGTGATCCGCCCATCTCAGCCTTCAAAAAGTGCTAGGATTACAGCCATGAGCCACCACCCCAGCCAAATGGAATAATTCATAATTAGCCCTTAAAAACAGCCAGATACAGTGGTACACACCAGGAGGCTGAGGCAGAAGGATTGCTTGAAACCAGGAGTTCAAGTTTAGCCTGGGCAACATAGTTATGCCTGGTCTCAAACAAACAAACAAAGCAGCCATTAATACACAGAAAACTACTGCATCATTTAGATTGGCATCCTAAAATGTAACCGATGTTTTATAGCTTTTAAACTTGAGAACCATAATCATTTATCCAATATGCTAGCAAGTGGCAGTACTAGATGGAAGTGAAAATGCAAGGAAAATGGTTATACGGACTACGAAAATGGGAGTGAGAAACCGAGCTACCCAAACGCTTCAGCCCTCCTGGCAGGTATATCCTTCTCATGAGTCAGGGTCACCTCACTTCAATGAAAGCATTCCTTAAGATCATCCAACATAAAAATCATCGACCAGGCGTGGTGGCTCACGCCTGTAATCCCAGCACTTTGGGAGGCCGAGGTGGGCGGATCACCTGAGGTCGGGAGTTCGAGACCAGCCTGACCAACATGGAGAAACCCCGTCTCTACTAAAAATACAAAAATTAGCTGGGCGTGGTGGCACATGCCTGTAATCCCAGCTACCTGGGAGGCTGAGGCAGGAGAATTGCCTCAACCAGGGAGGCAGAGGTTGTGGTGAGTTGAGATAGTGCCATTGCATTCCAGCCTGGGCAACAAGATAGAAACTCTGTCTCAAAAAAATAAAAATAAGATAAAATAAAAAAGATCATCTGACATAAAAATCATCGGCCGGGCACGGTGGCTCATGCCTGTAATCCCAACACTTTGGGAGGCCGAGGTGGGCAGATCACGAGGTCAGGATTTCGAGACCATCCTTGCCAACATGGTGAAACCCCATCTCTACTAAAAATACAAAAATTAGCTGGCGCAGTGGCGGGTTCCTGTAATCATAGCTACTTGGGAGGCTGAGGCAGGAGAACTGCTTGAAGCCAGAAGGCGGAGGTTTCAGTAAGCCGAGATCACCCCACTGCATTCCACCCTAGGTGACAGAGCAAGACTCCGTCTCGGAAAAAAAAAAAAAGAATCATCATCCTCCTTTAATCTTTGTCTTCATGAAGCAATGTTCTTAATTATCATGCAAGTTCTACTGCTGTGGAAGTGACTACTTGACAGCTGTATTGCTCACTATATACTTTAAGTTCTATGGTAATGGAACAAATCAAATTTATAGTCTGAATATTCTGTAAGCAATAAAATTGAACCTTCTTACCAATAAAGATGATATCCAGAAAAAAGTCAGGTTTATCTACAGTTCTAATCCCAGTATAACAATAGACTCACAAGGCCGGGCGCGGTGGCTCAGGCCTGTAATCCCAGCACTTTGGGAGGAAGAAGCGGGCAGATCACCTGAGGTCGGGAGTTCGAGACCAGCCTGACCAACATGGAGAAACCCTGTCTCTACTAAAAATACAAAAAAATTAGCAGGGCATGGTGGCACATACCTGTAATCTTAGCTACTCGGGAGGCTGAGGCAGGAGAATCGCTTGAACCCGGGAGGCAGAGGTTGTGGTGAGCCAAGATTACACCATTGCACTCCAGCCTGGGCAACAAGAGCGAAACTCGGTCTCAAACAAACAAAAAAAAAACAACAACAAAAACAAAAAACAACAGACTCACAAATCCAAATTTAAATAATAATAATAATAATTATTATTATTATTATTATTATTTTGGAGACAGGGTCTCATTCTGTCACCCAGGCTGGAGTGCAGTGGCACAATCATGGTTCACTGCAACCTCGACTTCCCAGGCTCAAGTGATCCTCCCACCTCAGCCTCTCAAGTAGCTGGGACCATAAGTGTGCAACACTACACCACCTGGCTAATTTTGGTATTTTTTGTCGATACAGAGTTTCACCATGTTGTCCAGGCTGGTCCCAAACTCCTGAGCTCAAGCGATCTGCCTGCCTCGGCCTCCCAAAGTGGTAGATTACAAGTGTCACCCACTGCATCCTGCCCAGATTTTACTTGTATCATGAACCTTTCAAATAACTGATTTGTAACTACTTAATTTACTAATATTTACTAACACTTAATGTTAACTTTCACTAAATGCAAGTTACATACATGTGGTGTAAGGTCTAACATTAAGAGCCAGTATTACATGTTGCCTTGACATCTGGTAAAAACCAGGAGCTTTTAATGGCCTCAGGGCAAGCTTCCCTCCCCAAGATGCCAAACAATTCTCATCACAGTGACCAGGCACAGGTACAGTTGCTGCTTATGCCTGAGGAGTAGGCCCCACTGCCCTGCCAGCCCAAGGAATTCTGAAAGCAATTATTAGTCTTTCTGCAGGAACCACAGCCACTCTCGTTACCACAAAGCCTTGCCTCCCGCAGCCCCTGGTTCTCCGTTCTATCCTAAGCGAAAGACTAAGAAACTTCCGTCCATCTCGTCTGTCCAGTGTCAGTACTGTGGGATGGAAATCCCTCTCTCACTGACAAGGTGAAGAGGTGATTAAAACAATACATATAATGGAATTTTACTCATTTAATCCTAAGGCCAATGAACATTATTCCTAACCTTACTAAGGCTATCATATGAGATTTTCTCCATATTTATTTTACATAAAGTTTCATGATGCTATTTAAAATCTATTTTCCCCTTTCCCTTTTATTTTAATTTATGTGTTATGGGAAATTTCAAACACAAAAAGCAGAGAGAAGGCCTTTTCTGACCAGCTGGGTCCATCATGTGCATATGGCTTTCGAGAGTCCCCCTGGCCAGGCACCCCTCTCCTGCCCACTTCATTTCCTAACACAGAAACCTGACACCCTCAGACAGGCCCTCCCCTCCTCCTCCTCCTGCAACCCAAAGCCTGCTCTCCACTCAAGGCCAGGGTACACCTTAAGCTGTGCTACAAAGACTTCTGCAATTAACTCCAGCCCACAGGCATTTTCTCTTCTTTACTATTTAATTCTCAACTACTGTTCTATCTTCAAGGTAAACTCTTTAAGTTCCTTAAAAACAATTACTTAGGTTTTCTGTGGTGGTTTCCCCACAAAAGGCACTCATTTACGGTAGCAAATTTGATTTACAAATCTTTCTAGAATGAGGCATATCACCAAATAAGGTGATCTGGTTGTTTCTTCATGCATGGAACTGTACCAGGGTGTATGTGTGGAGGGCTGGGGGATGACAAGCAGCATACAATTTGCAAGCCTTCAAATTATAAAGCAGCCTTCTGCCACCAAGAAAATAAGTGATCTCATTCTGACTTACAGTTTGAAAATAGGACATCAGAGGGAATGTCCTGAAAGGAATGAGTTGCTTCACTATTCTCAGACCTGGTCCCACTCTGCTCCCTCTCTCTGTAACTGAAGGTCTATCACAGCCGGGAGAGCCTGCAACAGAGATATTTTTTCTTCTTAAGAATTAGCCATGAGGCAGGGCCAGTATTAAAGACAGATAAACAGTAAAATTTTCTAAATTTCACTTCAACTAGGTTCCCAAGCTCCATGTGGTTCACCTGCCCAGTTTACTTAGGGGGACTCGGGAGTAATCCGAACTGTGACCATTGCTCAACAAACACTGAGCAGCTATTATCTGCCAGGCACTGAAGTTGTAAAGATGATCAAAGGGCCTATCCTCAAGGACTCCACGACTAAGAGAATTAAAAATTCCAAAAATAACCTACTGACGTTTTAAACACTTTTAAAGAGTCTTATGATTTTCTGCTTATTCTGTGTGTGGGAGGGGAAGGGCTTTTTTGTTGTTGTTGTTGTTGTTGTGGTTTTTGACAGTGTCTCACTCTGTTTCCCAGGCTGGAGTGCAGTGGCGCGATCATCGCTCACTGCTGTCTCAAATGCCTGGGTTGCAGTGATCTCTGACCTCAGCTGCTCAAATCAACAGGACCACAGGCGTATACCACGACACCTAGCTAATTTTTTTGTTCTGCTTGTTCTCTCTACATTTTAACAAACTCTTTTTTTTTTTGAGTCACAGTCTTGCACTGTCGCCCGGGCTGGAGTGCGATGGCGCCATCTCGGCTCACTGCAACCTCCGTCTCCCGGGTTCAAGCAAGTCTCCTGCCTCAGCCTCCCGCATAGCTGGGATTACAGACGTGTACTGCCACACCCGGCTAATTTTTTGTAGTAGAGACGGGGTTTCACTATGTTGGCCAGGCTGGTCTCGAACTCCTGACTTTGTGATCCGCCCACCTTGGCCTCCCAAAGTGCTGGGATTACAGGAGTGAACCACCACTCCCGGCCAACAAGTTCAATTTTCACAATTGATTTTACTAATATTTGTAATGTGAACTTTCATTAAACATAAAGCATGTCAAAAATGGAATAAATACATCTCAAATAAAAGAAAATTATGAAATTAGTCCACTTTCTTAAAAAATGTGGAAAACACATGATTTAAGAAACAGGCAAAAATGGACTAGTATTCTAATAAGGAAAACCTAAACTAGGACCTGCTTTGCAAAATGATTATCAGTAGGCAACACAATCACCAAAGTTAGCAAACTTTAAAAATTACACCAACTGGGCCGAGCACGGCGGCTCACATCTGTAACCCCAGCACCTTGGGAGGCCGAGGTGGGAGATCACCTGAGGCCAGGAGTTCGAGACCAGCCTGGCCAACATGGTGAAACCCCATCTCTACAAAACATACCTGGCCAACCTGGTGAAACCCCATCTCTACAAAAACATAAAAATTATTTTTTTGTATTTGCCATGAGGGCGGGTGCCTGTAATCCCAGCTACTGGTGAGGCTAAGGAAGGAGAATCTATTGAACCTGGGAGGTGGAGGTTGCAGTGAGCCAAGATTGCACCACTGCACTCCAGCCTGGGCCACAGGGCGAGACTCCGTCTCAAAAAAAAAAAGGAAAAAATTGAAAAAATTACACCAAATGAAGTGCATAGACAGCCTTAAACTTTTCACAGCACTTTTGACATTTCAACAAAGCCTTAATTAAAAAGATATGTGGTAAGGGCCCACAATGAGGAACCAGGTCCAGAGATTTTTTTTTTTTTTTTAGATGGAGTCTCGCTCTGTCCCCCAGGCTGGAGTGCAGTGGCGCTATCTCGGCTCACTGCAAGCTCTGCCTCCCGGGTTCACGCCATTCTCCTGTCTCAGCCTCCTGAGTAGCTGGGACTACAGGCACCCACCACCATGCATGGCTAATTTTTTTGTATTTTTAGTAGAGACGGGGGTTTCACCATGTTAGCCAGGATGGTCTCGATCTCCTGACCTCGTGATCCAACAGCCTTGGCCTCCTAAAGTGCTGGGATTACAGGCGTGAGCCACCGCACCTGGCCCAAGTCCAGAGATGTTAAGTAACACGTCACACAGCTGAGGTAGCAGAAGCAGAACTATAATCCAGGCCTCCTCATCTCTGCCAATCTCAGCCTTCTGCTGAAGAATTTGGAATCACGACCCCTGTTTGTAGCAAGAAGACCAAATTGTGTAAACTAGTAACAAAGACCCTGCATCATTTGTTCCAAACCTACCTTTTAGATCTCTCTTTTTTTTTTTTTTGAGACAGAGTCTCACTCTGTTGCCCAGGCTGGAGTGCAGTGACGCAATCTCTGCTCACTGCAAGCTCCGCCTCCTGGGTTCATGCCATTCTCCTGCCTCTGCCTCCCGAGTAGCTGGGACTACAGGCGCCCACCACTACACTAGGCAAATTTTTTGCATTTTTTAATTTTTTTGGATGCAGAGTCTCGCTCTATCCCCCAGGCTGGAGTGCGCTGGCGCAATCTTGGCTCACTGCAACCTCTGCCTCCCAGGTTCAAGTGATTCTCCTGCCTCAGCCTCCTGAGTATCTGGGATTACAGGTGCCTGCAACCACGCCCAGCTAATTTTTGTATTTTTAGTAGAGATGGGGTTTCGCCATGTTGGTCAGGCTGGTCTTGAACTCCTGACCTCGGGTGATCCTTCTGCCTCGGCCTCCCAAAGTGCTGGGATTACAGGCGTGAGTTACCGTGCCCGGCCAATATTTTGGGTTTTTTTTTTAGTAGAGATGGGGTTTCACCATGTTAGCCAGGATGGTCTCGATCTCCTGACCTTGTGATCCACCCACCTCAGCCTCCCAAAGTGCTGGGATTACAGGCGTAAGCCACCGCGCCCAGCCTAGATCTTATTTCCCCATACCATATTTCACACATCCTGTGTTCTACCCCGGTCAGCACTCTGCTGCTATTCTAACCTGCTCCTACCTTTCCTCCTCCATATTTGGTTGACACTAACTACCCCTCTGTTACGGTTACTTTGGTACTTAACTAGTATTGCCTTCACTGTGGCTCCCAGTGAACATGTGGCTTGCTTATATCATTTACTCAACCAACCAACGTTTACTGAGCATGTACAATATTCTAGGAGCAGGGGTACAACAGCCCACATGGGGTTATCTCCTGCTAGAGGTAGGGCGAAATAATAAACGAAATAAAGACATTATTCTGGAAAAGTGGCAAATGTTATGGTAAAAAATAAAACATGTGAAGGGCACTGGGGAGTTGAGTTGGGGGATTCTAATGACCATAGTTAGGAGGCCTTGCTGAGCAGTAACACTTGAGTAGAAGCTTCAAAGAGCTTTTTGAAAAGAACAAAGGAGAGAGAAGCAAGTGCAGGGGCTCTGAGGTATGAGCGGGTGTGCAGTTTCCTAAACAAAGGCCACTGTGGCTGACCTTGAGTGAGGGCAGGTGAGATACATTAGCGTGAAAAAGCGAGTGTCCGGCCGGGCGCGGTGGCTCACGCCTATAATCCCAGCACTTTGGGAGGTCGAGGCGGGTGGATCATGAGGTCAGGAGTTCGAGACCAGCCTGACCAACATGGTGAAACCCCGACTCTACTAAAAATACAAAAATCAGCCAGGCATGGTGGCGGGCGCCTGTAATCCCAGCTACTCGGGAGGCTGAGGCAGGAGAATCGCTAGAAACTGGAGGGCGGAGGTTGCAGTGAGCCGAGATCGCACAGCTGCACTCTAGCCTGGGCAACAAGAGCAAAACTGCATCTCAGAAGAAAAAAAAAGGTGAGTGTCAGATCACGTGGGGCCCTATGGGCCATACACAAACCCAAAAGGCAAGGAACAGATCTGCAACCCATTTATTTGGCCAGATCATAATTTATTTTCATCTGGAGCCATTACAGAACTATTTAAGTAGTTCTGTTTCAACTTCATTTACATAAAACAAATAGATATGCAGAAATGTTTAAGGATGCTCTAATCTAGTCTGAGGGGTGTATTTAATTCTACAACACAGATAAATCTTTGCAAATTGTGTATATTTGAGATTTATGTTATGGGAAACATACAGATACTAACACAGTTACCACAGTAGAGCAAATCAACATATCTATCATCTCATGTAGTTACTTTTTTATGACAAAAGCAGCTAAAATCTACTCATTGAAGGAAAATCTCTAATACAATTTCATTAGCTGTAGTTCTCAAGTTGTACATCCTGAATATCTGCTACTTTGTATCCTGTGACCTAAATCTCCCATTTCCTCTCCCACCCCCACCCCACCTTTTATTCTCTGCAGAAGTCTTATCTTTCTGTTCAATATCACAATGTATAGCAATCAAATAAATCAGTTTAAATGAAGCTTACACCATCTATAAAAAAATGTAATATTCAAAGTCATGTGTTTTAAATATGAGTAAACCATATTTACCTATTAAAAACATTCTGAAAATATGTGAAATTCTTTTTATTATCTCTCCCTAACAATAGCTACCACTTACTGAACACCTCCCCAGGCACTATTCCATGCATCATTTCTACTCATTTCTCTTCTACGCAATAAGATGAAGGTATCACTTTACAGCTAAGGAAACCTCCCAGGGGTAAAAAAGAGTCACATGCAGAGGACCACACAGAAAGGGACTTTACTTCTACACCCGGCTGCCCACATTACATTAACACTTTAGAGCTCTTAGGTCGGGCGCGGTGGCTCACGCCTGTAATCCCAGCACTTTGGGGGGTCGAGGCGGGCGGATCACCTGAGGTCAGGAGTTAAGAGACCAGCCTGGCCAACAAGGTGAAACCCCCGTCTCTACTAAAAATACAAAAATTAGCTGGGCGTGGTCGCCGGCGCCTGTAACCCCAGCTACTCCGGAGGCTGAGGCAGGAGAACCGCTTGAACCCAGGAGGCGGAGGTTGCAGTGAGCAGAGATCGTGCCACTGCACTCCAGCCCGAGTGACAGAGCAAGATTCCATCTCAAAAAAAAAAAAACAAAAAAAAAAACTATATATAGAGCTCTTAGTTTTCTACGAAATCTTTACTACCTGGTTTCCACTGCTATCTAAGTTAGCTTAGGCCCGGCTCGGTGGCTCACACCTGTAATCCCCGCACTTTGGAGGCCAAGGTGGTTGGATCGCTTAAGTCCAGAATTAGGAGACCAGCCGGTGTAACATGGTGAAACCCCGGTTCTAAAAAAAATACAAAAATTAGCCAGGCATGGTGCCGCACGTCTGTGGTCCCAGCTGCTGGGGAGGCTGAGGTGGGAGGAGCACTTGAGCCCGGGAGGCGGAAGTTGCAGTGAGCCCAGATTGCACCGTCTAGCCTGGGGACAGAGCAAGACCTTGGCTCAGAAAAATTAAATACATGTTAGATTTAATTTTTTCCAACCTCTCACTTGGCTAATAATTTTTCAAAGCAGTACTGTACTTATAAATATTACAGAACCTAAATCTCCAACCCTAACTATGCAACAATATTAGTTATAAATTACAATTTTAACTTACATGTAAGTTTAATATGGTCTCTCTTATGAAAAAAAGGCTGGGAGAGGTTAGAGATGACTTATTCACTCTCATTTCCTCGTAAATACCACCCTTTATTCTCATTTAAAGTCTTAAACCCTGGCCGAGTAGCTCCAGCCTAGAAAGAAGAAAACACAGAAGTAGGCAAAAGACTTAAAGTTACTAAGTACGTTTTATAATTTGGTTACTAGCCTTCATACTCATTTTGCCAACCAATCAACATAAAACCTACTCAATCGAGCACAACTACTGCTTCGACAGGCAGCTTACTGGAATGGAAACTCTCGACTCTGATATTTCCTCTTACTAAAAAAAGTATTAACCGGGCACATGGCTATACACAGGATTTCTAGAAACAGAACTTAACATGCAGTCCTGTATTAAATGAACTAACAACCTAGAAAAGAAATTAAGGAGGCACAAACACCAAACTAAACACACAGTTTTGAGCAATTGTATAGAGAGGGAAATAGGATTCCGTGATTTTATAAAAGGAAATTAAAACAGTCAGGCTCAAAACGTCACAGCAGACTTCTAAGGCTTGTTTAACTGTCAGTTATGATCCCCGCAGCAGCTGAAGCCACCTTCTAAAACTCACCAAGACAAATGAAATTATTTTAATGAACTTAATGAACATGCGTCCCCGACATGGCCAACGAGCCAGGCTTCCGTGGGACTGAACGGCAATCCGATTCACGGTGGGTTTCCTCACTGAGGATTACAGGAAAACCGCTTCAGAACACCCGGAAAGGAAAGTTGCCCGAAGAACCCTTCTCCGACACAAGGCGGGCTGGCTCGCCACCAAGTCAGCCCCTTCGCGCTTGCCTGAAAGGAAGGAGTGGCGACCTCACCCTAGTCGGCCGGCCGGCCGCGCGGCTTCCCCTCGCCGGCGCAGCCTTGGGCACCGCGGCTCACACCCCCACACAGGCCGCCCAGTCCTGCGCTCGCACGGCCACCGCCTTCGTCGCCGTCCAGTGGGAGATGCGAGCATTCGGGGCTGAAGCCGTTCGCACCGCCTCCTCCATGGAGAAGCGCCGAGGAAAACCTGCCAAGGACAACCTCCGGCACCGCCGTCACCACCGCTGCCGGGACCTAGGGCCGGCGCCGGAAAACCTAGGCGCGGCTAAATGACGCAAGAGGCCTCGCGCGCACGCGCAGTGCCGCACCACGTACACCCCGCCCCCGGGGCTCTCTCCCGCCGGGTTCCGGTTCCTTTACAAGGCCCCAGTCGGCTGAGCGCGGAGGGCGGGGCGCGTAGAGTGTGGGGACGGGGGCGGGGCGCAGGATCCAGGCGGGACCTGGCGAGGGACGAAGCTGGAAGCGTAGTTAAGCAGTACAGTATGCTGCCAGGTGGCGTTGGCCGATCAGTTCAAAATCAAACTCCGGCGTGGCCCTTATTTAAAACGAGGATTCCGGGCCCGGCGCTGTGGCTCACGCCTGTAATCCCAGCACTTTGGGAGACCAAGGCGGGCGGATCCCGAGGTCAGCAGATCGAGACCATCCTGGCTAACACGGTGAAACCCCGCCCCTACTAAAAATACAAAAAATTAGCCGGGCGTGGTGGCGGGTGCTTGTAGTCCCAGCTACTCGGGACACTGAGGCAGGAGAAGGGCGCGAACCCGGGAGGCGGAGCTTGCAGTGATCGGAGATCCCGCCACTGCACTCCAGCCTGGGCGACAGAGCGAGACTCCGTCTCAAAAAAAAATAGAATAAATGAGGGTTCCGGCCGGGCGCGGTGGCTCACACCTGTAATCACAGCACTTTGGGAGGCCGAGGCGGGCAGATCACGAGGTCAGGAGTTCGAGACCAACGTGACCAACATGGGGAAACCGCATCTCTACTAAAAATACAAAAATTAGCTGGACGTGTTGGTGCGCGCCAGTAATCTCAGCTACTCCAGAGGCTGAGGCAGGGGAATCGCTTGAACTCGGGAGGCGGAGGTTGCAGTGAGCCGAGATCAGCCACTGCACTCCACCTGGGCGACAGAGCGAGACTCCTTCTCAAAAATAAATAAATAAATAAAATAAAATGAGGGTTCCCAGGGGCAGTCACAGTGTGAAGCTGCATTTAATTGGTGTCCCCGGGCGATGCCAAAGGGGAACAGAGCTCCCAAGAGGGCAAGAAGCGGGGGAAAGGGTGGGTCCAAAGCTGGGGGCGGGACGGGGCGGGGCCGAAATAGCTGTGGTAGTTCGACGACCGCTGGGCCCTTCCTTACTGACCCGGTCGCGGAATAGATGTGAGGTTGACGTTTGGTGAAAGCCCGCCTCGAGACACTGAGAGCAGATTGATTGAATGATTGATTTTGAGACAGAGTCTCGCTCTGTCGCCAGACTGGAGTGCAGTGGCACGATCTCGGCTCACTGCAAACTCCGCCTCCCCGGTTCAAGCGATTCTCCTGCCTCAGCCTCCCGAATAGCTGGGACTGTAGGCGCGCGCCGCCACGCCCGGCTAATTTTTTTTTTTTTTTAAGACGGAGTCTTTCTTGTCACCCAGGCTGGAGCGCAGTGACACGATCTCGGCTCACTGCAACCTCTGCCTCCTGGGTTCAATGAAGCCATTCTCCTGCCTCAGCCTCCCCAGTAGCTGGGATTACAGGTGCACACCACCACGCCCAGCTAATTTTTGTATTTTTAGTAGAGATGGGGTTTCACCATGTTGGCCAGGCTGGTTTCGAACTCCTGACCTCGTGATCCGCCCGCCTCGGCCTCCCAAAGTGCTGGGATTACAGGTGTGAGCCACCACACCCAGCCAATTTTTGCATTTTTATTAGAGACAGGGTTTCACCATGTTGGCCAGGATGGTCTCGATCTCTTGACCTCGTGATTCACCCGCCTCAGCCTCCCAAAGCGCAGATTTATTTTTCATGAGATGTATAGGAAACTAACTGTTAGGCTATCCTGCCTTGGCTCCTCCTGGAAAGGAGAAATTCCTTGGGATCCACCAACGTGGTTTCTGCAAAAGTAGTCAAAGACAGAGCTCATTTGTAAGAAGCAAAGAGTAGCCAGCTAGAGTTAGATCTCCTAGTAAATCAATGATTCCTTGGTTGCAGGTGTAGAGTCCCTTAGGAATGTTGTTCCAGGTTGTGACTAGACACAAAAACACTATTATATGAAATTCAAATCATGTGGGGGGAGGATCTTTATAAAATGAATTATGCACTTTTTGAAACAAAACACCAAATATCATTTGTCCTTTTCAGGCTCTAATCCTATTGGACTGTTGTGTTCTAGACTGTATACACAGCCCCTGACCACTCTGGTTTTGGTTTAGGTCACTATGCAGCTTCTAATTTTAAAGCTTTTAATCTGCCGTGAGCCTAGCAATCATCTTAAAACTGGCTCAGAGGACCTATTACTTGCATCTCAGAACTGGCTCAGAGGATCTATTACTTTCTTTGGTCTCAGCCATGTTTTGGCTAGTTGACACTCTCAGATAAGGAATTCCATTGAATATTGAAAGACGGTTGACAAGTTGGTCTCAGGTGATGTGGTAGATTGATGAAAAATGGCTCCAATTTCCCACACATTTTGCAGTGACTTTGCAGCTCCCCTCTATTTCCTGAATCTGTACTGGCCTTGGGCTTTGGCCAAGAACATGTGGCAGTTCCAGACTAAATTATGATGCCTGGACTAGCCTGCTGGAGGAGGGGACCACATGGGGCAAGGCAAGCAGCAAATCCACCTAGGTAAATGCTGGCTGACTACCATTGAGACCAGCCACTGACCAAAACTGCCCCATTAACCCATAAACACATGAGGAAGGATAAATTACTATTGTCTGAGCCACTTATTTTGGGGTAGATTGGTATGTAGCAATAACTAACTGATACAGATGCCAACAAATACCTCTAGGACAGAGGTCCCCAAGAGTGCGAACCTTATTGTGAATTGTGCATGCGAGGGATCTAGGTTGCACGCTCCTTATGAGAATCTAAATAATGCCTGATGATCTGAGGTGGGACACTTTCATCCCGAAAACATCCTCCCCGCGCCCCCCTTCCCCAGCGTCTGTGGAAAAATTGTCTTCTATGAAATCAGTCCTTGGTACCAAAAGGGTTGGGGACTGCTGCTCTAGGAGGCAGATGAGTAATAAAGTAGTGGTTTGTTCACATGAACAGGAATGCTTAGGTGTCGATATGTTAATTTAACCTAACGAACAAATTTGCTTGTCACTCCTTTCTGCCAGCTGGAGCTCCACCTCATCTAATCAGCTTTCTGTCATTATTTGGACCTCCCACCGGACACCTCCCCCGACACTGCACAGTGCATTGTCTTTATAAGTCTATATATACCTTGCTAATATGCTGCAGGCTTCTTACATGCCCACATCACTTCTCCAGCCCGTGATGTTGTACATCTTGTATACTCTGAGTGTTCAAGCAGTTGTCATGAGATATTTTTAAGGTTTTAAAACTCTAACTCCTTCTCATACACTACTGGTGGAATTGTAAAATGGGACAATTTCCTTGGAAAATTGGTTGACAGTTTCTTAAAAAGTTAAACATACACCGACCAAATGACCTGGCAGTTCTACTCCTGAGTATTTACTCAACAGAAATGTATCCATAAAAATACTTGCAGGCCGGGTGCGGTGGCTCACACCTGTAATCCCAGCCCTTTGGGAGGCCGAGATGGGCGGATCACGAGGTTAGGAGATTGAGACCATCCCGGCTAACACGGTGAAACCCCGTCTCTACTAAAATTACAAAAATTAGCTGGGTGTGGTGGTGGCGGCACCTATAGTAACAGCTACTCGGGAGGCTGAGACAGGAGAACAGCGGGAACCCGGGAGGCGGAGCTTGCAGTGAGCTGAGATCGCACCATTGCACTCCAGCCTGGGGAACAAGAGCAAAACTCCTAAAAAAAAAGCCTCAAAAAAAAAAAAAAAGGCAGGGGGATGAACTATTGATACATGCCTTAACATAGCTGAGTCTCAAAATAATTAGTAAGTGAAACAAGCAGACCAAAAAAACAGTGTGTACTCAACGATCACATTTATATAAAAGCCTAGGAAATGGAAGCCCATGTATAGTTACAGAAAGCAGATGAGTGGGCCCCTAGGAGTAGAGGAGGCAAGGAGGGTGAAGGGATTACAGTGGGTCAAAAAGAAACTTTGGTGTGATGGGGATGTTCGGTGTTTTGTTTATGGCAATGTTTTCATCATAAGACACTTGTCAAAACTTACCAAATCACACATTTTATATATGTGCAGTTTATTATATGTCAATTATACCCCAATAAAGCTGTTGAAATCTTGTCATTGTTACAGAGGCACAGAAGCAAGAAGTCTGGCCTGTGCTTCTGTAACAATGACAAGACTTCAACAGCTTTAAAACAGTATTTTTAAAAATCATGTATTAGGAAATCAAATAGTTTTCTTATGTATAAATTGTTCCCCAATTACTCTTGTATGTTTTGGTTTTGTTACAACAGAAGCATCAAAACAGCAAAGCAGATGATCATTTTTTCTTTACCTCAACCCCTATCACTAGTTAAAATTGCCCTTTGTCCTTCCAAAATGAATAGTGGCATTCCCTGTTGCGGGAAGTCAGGGACCCCCAAAGGGAGGGACCGACTGAAGCCATGGCAGAAGAACGTGGATTGTGAAGATTTCATGGACATTTATTAGTTCCCCAAATTAATACTTTTATAATTTCTTATGCTTGTCTTTACTGCAATCTCTAAACATAAATTGTGAAGATTTCATGGACACTTATCACTTCCCCAATCAATATTCTTGTGATTTCCTATGCCTGTCTTTACTTTAATCTCTTAATCCTGTCATCTCGTAAGCCGAGGAGGACGTATGTCGCCTCAGGACCATGTGATAATTGAGTTAACTGCACAAATTGTAGAGCATGTGTGTTTGAACAATATGAAATCTGGGCACCTTGAAAAAAGAACAGGATAACAGCAATTGTTCAGGGAATAAGAGAGCTAACCTTAAACTCTGACCACCAGTGAGCCCGGCAGAACAGAGCCATATTTCTCTTCTTTCAAAAGCAAATGGGAGAAATATCGCTGAATTCTTTTTCTCAGCAAGGAACATCCCTGGGAAAGAGAATACATGCCTGGGGGTGGGTCTCTAAACTGGCCCCCCTGGGCATGGCCGTCTTTTATGGTCTGTAGACTGCAGGGGTGAAACAGACCCCAGTCTCCCATAGTGCTCCCAGGCTTATTAGGAAGAAGAAATTCCTGCCTAATAAATTTTGGTCAGACCGGTTGCTCTCAAAACCCTGTCTCCTGATGTTATCAATGACAATGGTGCCCGAAACTTCATTAGCAATTTTAATTTTGCCCCGTCCTGTGGTCCTGTGATCTCACCCTGCCTCCATTTGCCTTGTGATATTCTATTACCTTGTAAAGTACTTGATGTCTGTGACCCACACCTATTCGCACACTCCCTCCCCTTTTGAAAGTCCCTAATAAAAACTTGCTGGTTTTGTGGCTTGGGGGGCATCACAAAACCTACTAACATGTGATGTCTCCCCCGGACGCCCAGCTTTAAAATTTCTCCCTTTTGTACTCTGTCCCTTTATTTCTCAAACCGGCTGATGCTTAGGGAAAATAGAAAAGAACCTACGTGACTATCGGGGCAGGTTCCCCAATAATTCCCTGCCATTTTAAAGCATTTCTATTATATGAATACTTTTCAATTAATATTATTTGGTTTATTCAAGGCCATCAATGACCTACAAATGTAGTAGGGCATTTTCCAAAACATTTGTTGGGGGTGAGCAGGGAGAAACTTTCTGAAAAATATAGGAATAACTCAAGGTGAATTGAGGTAGAACAGTGGGATAGTGATTAAAAGCCAGGAGTTGGCTTTTGTGAACTGCCTCACTTGGTAAAATGGTAAGTGGATGTGGTAAGCAGAAAGCCCAAAGATATCCACGTCCTCACCTTGTAACCTGTGACTGTGCCACCTTCCATGGCAAAAGGGGCTCTGCAGAGGCAACTAAGGATCTTGAGAGAGGGAGCTGACCCTGGATTGTCCATGTGGGCCCAAAGCAGTCATGAAGGTCCTTCCAAGAGGGTGACAGGAGTGTCAGAGTCAGAGAGTAAGCTATGATGATGGATGAGTGGCGAGAGAGATGACATTGCTGGCTTCAAAGATGGAGGAAGGAGCCACGAGGCAAGATACAAAGGCGGCCTCTAGAAACCAAAAGAGCAGGGATGAGACTCTTCCCAGGAGCCTCCAGAGGGAAGTAATCCTGTCTGCACCTTGATTTTAGCCCAGCAAAGCTTGTGTGGAACTTCTAACCTCCAGAATTGTAAGATGATACGCGTGTGTTGTTTTAAGCTACAAGGTATGTAACTTGTGAAGAGCCGTAATAAAAAACTAACACAATAAGTATGCCAAATTAAGGGAAGGAGAAGATGCTGGGATCCCCCCAATGTCTTTGTCAAAAATAAAACAGATTCAGTGTTATAGATGAGCAACCTGGTCTGACCTTCTCTCCACCCTCTGGTCCATCATCTCAGTGATTTTCACACTCATTATGTTTACTTGGTCACCACCACCGCTGTCCTGCTTGCCACCATCCAGTTCCACACCTCTTTCTCATGTGCTCGGCTGGAATGAATCCTGTCCTCTTTGGACTGGTAATAGAGAGGTACCTAGATCTTTTTTTTTTTAGACGGAGTTTCGCTCTTGCTGCCCAGGCTGGAGTGCAGTGGCGTGATCTCAGCTCACCGCAACCTCTGCCTCCCGGGTTCAAGCAATTCTCCTGCCTCAGCCTCCCGAATAGCTGGGATTACAGGCGTGCACCACCACGCTCAGCTAATTATGTATTTTTAGTAGAGACGGGGGTTTCTCCATGTTGGTCAGGCTGGTCTCAAACCCCTGACCTCAGGTAATCCACCGGCCTTGGCCTCCGAAAGTGCTGGGATTACAGGCGTGAGCCACTGTGCCTGGCTGCAGAGGTACCTAGATCTTTTATATCTGTTTCTTGTCTGTGTCTCACCTCTCCAACTAAAAACCTTTTTAAAACTATCATGTGAGATTCAAACTAATGGTGAACAAGTAAGTGTGACTAATACTACAACAAACATGCTGACAATGTCAAAACGAAGGGTCATCAGATGGATGGGATGGATGTAACTAAGCAACACAGAAATTCTAGAACAAGTCCCTTGCAGGGAAGGCTTGGCTAGCAGCCAGCACAAACTACTCTATAGTAGTAACCAACCAATGCAAGCTTTTGTTCAATGACAGCAGAATTTGGCATTAATACACTTCACAGCCCCAAAAACCTATCTGGAGTTATCCATAGATGCATTTGGTGATTTCATAAAATGTTTGTTCTTGTTTTCTGTATAAGTATACTTTGATCAAAATGTGAATAATTAAATCTTTTGGGATAGAGACTAAGAAAAAAATCTTACTCATTTTTTCTCATTTGATAAAATAACTTATAGGACACCAGTCTGAGCAACATAACTAGACCCTGTCTCTACAAAAAAATTAAAAAATTACCCAGGTGTGGAGGCACAGGCCTGTAGTCCTAGCTACCGGGGAGGCTGACGCAGGAGGGTCGCTTGAGCCCAGCAGTTTGAGGCTGCAGTGAGCTATGACTGTAAGAGAGTGAGACCCTGTCTCTCAAAAAAAAAAAAAAAAACCAAAACAAAGAAAATTATAGGACACTAAAGAAGATCAGCAACAAGATTTCTAATGATGCTTGAAGTATGAAAATGCGTTATAATTGTCTCATTTTCTATGGGCTAAAAATGTAAAATGATATGTTATACAACTCAAAAACATGTCAAAGGTACTAACATATTAAAATAGAGCTGGTTTTATTTAATACTATCACTTCATTGGATCAAGAGACAGTCGCAGGACAGGGAATTTCTGCATACATCATGGATTTGCTCCCTAAGGTAGATGCACAGGTAGACGGTTTCTTTTTCTTTTTCTTTTTTTTTCCAAGACGGAGTTTCGCTCTTGTCGTCCAGGCTAGAGTGCAGTGGCACGATCTCGGCTCCCTGCAACCTCCACCTCCCGGGTTTAAGTGATTCTCCTGCCTCAGCCTCTGGAGTAGCTGGGATTACAGGCACACACCACCACGCACAACTAATTTTTGTATTTTTAGTAGAGACGGGGTTTCACCATGTTGGCCAGGCTGGTCTCGAACTCCTGACCTCGTGATCTGCCTGCCTTGGCCTCCTGAAGTGCTGGGATTATAGGCGTGAGCCACCGCACCTGGCCTTTTTTGTTTTGTTTTGTTTTGTTTTTGAGACGGAGTTTTGCTCTTGTTGCCCAGGCTGGAGTGCAATGGTGTGATCTCGGCTCACTGCAACCTCTGCCTCTCAGGTTCAAGTGATTCTCCTGCCTCGGCCTCCTGAGTAGCTGGGATTACAGGCATGCACCACCACCTCTGGCTAATTTTGTATTTTTAGCAGAGACAGGGTTTCTCCATGTTGGTCAGGCTACTCTCAAACTCCCGACCTCAGGTGATCCGCCCGCCTCAGCCTCCCAAAGCACTGGGATTACAGGTGTGAGCCACCACACCTGGCCCACAGGTAGACATTTTCTACATTGTTATAGAGATCTAGAGGCTAGTCATTTCTGTCTTTTTTTTTTTTGAGATGGAGTCTCGCTCTGTTGTCCAGGCTGGAGTGCAGTGCTGTGATCTCGGTCACTGCAACCTCTGCCTCCCAAGTTCAAGTGATTCTCCTGCTTCAGCCTGCTGAGTACCTGGGACTACAGATGTGCACCACCATGCCTGTCTAATTTTTGTTATTTTTTAGTAGAGATGGGGTTTTACCATGTTGACCAGGCTGGTCTCAAACTCCTGGCCTCAAGTGTCCCACCCGCCTCAGCCCCCTAAAGTGCTGCGATTACAGGCATGAGCCACTGCACCCAGCCTAGGCTACTCATTTCTAAAAAGAGAATAGGAAAAATGGGAGGAACTGGGATGATCTGGAACCTGAGACTACATAAGCATTTCAAGTAAAGGGAAAAAAAAAAATCAACAAATGTTCAGCTAGAAATAAGTTATTTTATTTTAAAACACATACAGATTAATAAATATTACTGGAAAACTTAATAGCCTTTTTATTTACATGAGGCAATAACAACATGCTATGACTACATCTATAAAGCAAAATATAAGCAGGTCTTGGCCACTGACACATGTGTCTATGTATGCTAATTGGAAGCTCCCCAATACATGTCTATGACAAAACTTTTACACAACCAATCAACATTTGACATTTTTTACATCTTCTTCCTCTCATGATTATATTCCATTTTCAAGAAAATAATAGTTATCCTTTGAAAAGGCAAAACGCTCAAGCCACTGAAAAACAGTATCTAAATTTCTGTAAAGTGCAAAAATACTAAGGTGGGGGGCAATTATTATATTCTGACAAATAAATATTCTGAACTTTTCAACATGACCCTTTGGCACTAGTGGTTTGGGAGCCCTGACATTCGCCTGGTGTCAGTTCAGCATCAGGGTTGAGCTGCTTGGAAGCAGGAAGTTCAGCGTCATTTATTACAAATCCAGTGCAACAGAATCCACGTGTTTCACAGGCCATTAAATCTTTTTCAGAATACAGACCTCGGCCGAATGTCAGGAGCACATCACACCATCGGAAGGTGATCTTTCTGTGCGGCTTTCTGAAGTCCCTGTTTAATTTCCATATTTTACAATAGAACATATAAAACCCTTTCTTTTAAAACAAAAAAAGGAAAACTAAAGCTTCATGGAATCATGCAAACTTTACACCCAGCACTTCCTTTGCTTTCTCAGCGCATGAGGCTGTGTGTCCTACAGCATGGTCCTGAGCAGACTCCATGGTCCGTGCAAGCGGAGTTTCCACTGTGCCACTCCCAGGCACTTCTGAACACGGTGCTCTCATCTCAGGCCACCAGAACACTGCTGAAAGTGCCGGTGTTTTAGAAACAATTTGAAGAACCATCCCACCCCTTTAGAGGTAGAAAAACTGAGGCACAGAAAGGTTAAGAGACTCACCTATGTTTGCACAATTTAGGGAAAAATAGAGAAAAGAAGAAAAACATCCTCCTCCCTGGCTCATGCTCTGGGCCCTGGATTCTGCTTTTTAAATGCTTTTGGGTACATGTGAAATAGATGTTTATTTACATGATCCTTGTTCTACTGAATATCAACTTTTTACTAGACAACATATTTTGATGTAACAAAGTTACATTTTCTTAAAATATAATTATGTTGTTGCACGTGAGGAATGTGAATGAAACAAATGAGTCGTGGTAGTGGGCCAAATTCTCACTGCTGTTCCTGTAATTCTGAACCTTTTCAAGTATACAATGGAGGTATAAGAATCTGGCCAGATGTGAAACATCACCTATAAGCTAAAGGACAGACCCTTAAAATTCATCACCAGTACAATTGTGAGGTGGAAATGAGGAATACAAAAAATTGAGGTATTTTATATGATAAACTGTCTTGTGGTGTGACTGGTGTACAAATTGGTCTTTTCTTTCCAACTCACATTAACAGAATCTACCTATGAATATGAGTAAAACCTATGAAAAATGAACACGGATATGTCCTTGGGAGGAAGGTCACTGTTAAGGAGTCAATGATACATTTTTGGTCCCTGAGAAGGCAAAACACCAAGACTCCATCCAATCCCGCCTGATGGACGAACAACGCCCTCGGTGTCAGACACCATGAAAAGAACAACTTCAGAACACGGAAGCTAATCCATGCTGTCGGGAACAGACCTTACACTGAAATGTTCTCTTTCTAGTTTCCTGCTTGGTGGCAGGAAGCCTAAGTCAGCATCGAGCAGGTGTCAGGTCGAAGCGGCACAACGGGAGGGGCTCTGGGAACCACCGGAGTACTCTCTCCCCTCTTCTGGGTTAGCTGAGCAGCTTGAAGAAGAGGAATCCCCCGACCAGACAGAAGGGCAGCAGCCTGTGCCCATCACACCTGTTTCCACGGACCAGGTGTCCGTGCACACCTGGGAGACACTGCATCTCCAAAGTCTAGAACTGGCCCCTAGAAGTTGAGCACAACATTTACAAAGAGCTGAGTCATCTAGGAAGAAGGAAAATAAGACGACTGCACAAGTGAACAGTGCTCACTTCTACCAGAAAACAGATGTGAAATCCAAAGAAGAACAAACACCAACATATTACCGCTGGGATGAACTTCTGGAAAGACAACTGGGTGTAGTAAATTGGCTTGAAGAGCAGGAATTGAAAGAATATTCCTTATTGCTGAACAAAGAGCTGCGAAGTATATTCACTAACATTCTGATAGGAAAAGATCTCAATGAGAGCTGAGCAAGGCCACCAGAATACCAAATTCCTCCCCAAAGTCCCCAGCATGGGCAGGGCCTCACTCCATGTGGCACTGGAAGGACTTCCCTCCCCAGCACCTTCTCCACAGAGATGGCATGGTCCTGCCAGCCGGGAAGATGCTCCAGGGGGGCTTTGTGGTGCTGGGTTAGGGTTAGAATCCTTAATTGGCCCTACCTTTGATCAATGAGCAGAACAGGAAGCAATCCTTTCAAATGCAAATATTCAGAGGAGAAAACAAGGCATTGCCCAAGAAGAGGAGAGAAATAGCCTATTTAAGTATCTATCAAGAGAAATCTGCATATTGTGATCAAAACCTTTGATTTTAGAGGATGCTTGAAAACAAGTATACAGTAAGCATCTTTTTTTTCAAAGAATAGTATGATAATGAAAATATTTCAAGTACATGTACTTTTGGAAAGACCACTAAGAGATCTATCCATGTTCTAGGCCCTCCCCCAAAGTTCTCACTTTGGGGCTTTTTCATTTTCAAATGAATGATGAAAACATAATTTTTTAAAATAAATACTATCAAATCAGAAGTTATATGCTCTATATTAAATTTGAAAATTAGACTGTTCAACCACTGGTCATGTCATTTACTTTGAGGCTGGTGTCACGTGCTTGAAAAACAATGGATGATATGAACTTTGTTTCACTGGAAGAAAAGCTATGTATCCTACTGAAGTATCTGCTGAACAGAGGTAAACCTGAAAGATTCTAACTGTCCCAGGACCAGTCACCTTCAAGGGTAGAAGAGCTATTAATACTTTTGAGATTTTGTTTTACTCTAAGAATATTATAGAGAAGATCATCGGGTATCACCTCTCAGTATCAATGGTATAATTGTGGATTAAAATATACTAAGGTACACCAAGAGCTGCCTTTAAACTAAATTTCCCACAAAAGCTGTAGCAACACAAACATGATCATTTTCATGTGACACATGAACTTTCTCATTACACTTGTTAGCCACATGTATTCTTTGAATATCTCACACCCCTTACCTAGGAAACTATTTTTATGCCCAAAAGTATATTGATACTGCTACATTACGTTTTCAGAAAGTTCAGTTCAGTAAGTTAAGGCCTGCATTTCTAAAAGCACTGATGATAAAACACAAAACCTGCAAGAGCCAATAAAAAGAGTAATGGACTTTGAGCATTTGTTAACCATCCATTGAGAGGATTTAAGATTTTTAAAAAATAATGTTGTTGCTGCTCTCAGTTCACAAATCACTGACAACCCATGATCATCATGTACACGTTTACTCCATAAAGGTATTTTTCTCTCTATATTAAACTAGTCTCATTTTATTTAGCCTCTTTACTCAACACTTTAGGAAGCTATTCCTTGAGACTTTAGAAATGTTCTTTTTGCCTACAAAAACACATTTTTTTTCTTACTGAGGAACTTTAATTGGGTACTATTCAATTTTATGTTCTACTTCACCTAATCTACTTTACCCAACCCCATCTTTCAACTTGGCGTAGTTCCCTGCTGAGATAAAACACTGGCCATGAAGTACATGATACCGTGGTGAAATATGTGCATCACTTCATGCTATGCTCCCATTTGGAACACATGGATGGGAACACTATAGACAGAGAATGACCTCTTTGATTCAAATACTGGCATAATTAATGGCTCTTTTGCATTTAAGACACATAATGAGAGGTTAGCTGAGGAACTCTAGGATGCTCTGCCATTGCAAACAACAAGGAGATGGCTACATTTATTGGCTTTTTGTTAGAAAATCTTTCAAAAACTGCATATTGCAATTTGTAGAAGCTAGCCTAACCTCAATTGTGTCCTTTAACTTGTTCCTGTATGACAGGGTACTCGATATATGAGCTATTGAACAGGTACTCTCCCACTTAGCCTTATTATCAAGTTACCTAATTTATTTCTTCTGAATGGCCATGAATGCTTGCTGATAAAGAATGTGGATATATTTGATACTGGATCCCAGGTAACACAGATCGAATACAAATAAAATAATACCTCATGCTACTTAAATCAACTGTCTTTAATTGGACAATAATCACATGTTAAAGGGGTCAATTTGCTCTAATGTGTCTTTAGTCTTGACTATCTTCCAGTGAATATACAGTCATGAACCACGTAACCATGTTTCTGTCAAAGACATACCACTTACATGACGGTGGTCCCATAACATTGTAATACCATAGTTTTACTGTACCTTTCCTATGTTTGTAAACACAAATACTCACCACTGTGTTACAATTGCCTGCGGTATTCAGTGCGGTCACATGCTGTACAGGTGTGTGGCCCAGGAGCAACAGGCTGTACCATCTGGCCTGGGTGGGTCATAGGTGTCCCATCTAGGTTTGTATAAGTGCACTCCATGATGTTCACACAATAAAGTCACCTTACAATGCATTTCTCAGAATGTTTCCCTATCATTAAGTGACATGTGACTGTATTATTTCTAACTGCCTTATACATTTGTAACTTGAATATTGAAATATTAAAGCATACTCGAAGTTGCATTATTCTAATCTAAGAACATATACACATTAAGAGTCAAATTAAGTTAATAATTCAAGTGATAAAGGCACTGAAATTGATTTGAGCTATTGAAAAGTCATCCTGCCAGTGGAACACTACCTCATGTTCATTAACTCTTCTCTCTCTCTCTATTTACTATTAAAATGTCTTGGGTGGGGGTGGGGGTCGAAGAGTCAACTTGTCAGAGGATTAAAAACAATTCAATGTATATGCCTCTTATTTGGATGACATACTTGAATGTTATACATGCTTAATGCAAACTAACACAACTACAGACACATTCACTGTACAGTGCCAGAGTTCAAGACAACAATCTCTCATTCCCAAAGTAATCTAAGTAAAAATATCTCTGCTATCATGTAACAACTAACCAGAAAGAGCCCATCTTTTTCTGTTTAAATAATGTTAAAATGTTTTAAAAGAAGAGAATATTCATGAAAGCTTCCAGGTTAATGGAAATGAAAATGAGATTCGTCTCATCAGAGAGAGATGGTGCCAGGCAACCGTTGGGGACGTTTGGGCTGCAGAGGGCTGGCTGGGCCTCTGCTCTGGTGCTGAGCCATGCTCCCCGCTATCCACCAGACCACCTGTTACTATCCAGTCAATTCTAACACCATGATCGAGGACCTCTTCTACTTCACATCCAATCACGGCCAGAAACCACCTCCAATGCCTATTCCTCGAACCATCCAAGCTCCTATTGCAATCTAGTCTGTTTTCATATTAGATTTGTTCATCTCCCCAAGGTTGAAATTGAACTCTTTGAACACCTGTATAAGGACAATCCCCACGGAGACGGTCG
Organism: Homo sapiens; assembly: GCF_000001405.40. NCBI lineage: Eukaryota > Metazoa > Chordata > Mammalia > Primates > Hominidae > Homo > Homo sapiens. Next base: position 22,824,144 of record NC_000015.10, on the reverse strand, counting down.
TGAATCCACAGGCCATCCCCAAGAAGTCCACCAGGCCCACGTTGCTCCACTCCCGGAAGAGGATGGCTGAGGCCAGCAGGACCAGCGTGGTAAACACGACGTAGTAGATGGCCCCGAACACCGAGGAGTCGAAGCACTCCAGCGCCTTGTTGATGTACCTGAACTGGACGATGATGCTGCAGCCGAGCACGGCCAGGAGTACCAGGCACAGGCAGAGGGCTCTCTGACTGGACGGGTTGTTATGCAAGATGTCTTGGGCCGCCAGCCCGATGCCCTTGGTGGAAGGCACGGTGAAACTGCCCAGCAAGGAGCAGATGCTGATGTAGACCATGATGTTGGTGGGCCCATGGGCCGGCGCGATCCAGAAGATGAGCAGCAGCAGCATGAGCAGCACGATGCACAGGTAGCCCACAAACACTGGAACACAGACAGCACACAGTCACCCGGAGCCACCGCCTAGCAGCCGCAACCCAGGAGGTGGACTGGGGCAGCACCCGGGCCCCCACCCGCCACCCGCCACCGGCCTCTACTGCGGCACAGCCCTGGGGAGCATGTGGGCTCTGGCTTGAATTTACCAGACCCACTGATTTCATTCCACAAAAGTATTCCCATCATTTTCACTGTTAAAACATTTACAGCCGGGTTAGCCAGACGCGGTGGCTCATGCCTGTAATCCCAGCACTTTGGGGGGCCAAGGCAGGTGGATCATGAGGTCAGGAGTTCAAGACCAGCCTGGCCAAGATGGTGAAACCCCGTCTCTACTAAAAGTACAAAAATTACAGCGCGCCTGTAATCCCAGCTACTTGGGAGGCTGAGGCAGGAGAATCACTTGAACCTAGGGGGTGGAGGTTGCAGTGAGCCGAGATCAAACCACTGTACTCCAGCCTGGGTGACAGAGCAAGACTCCATCTCAGAAAAAAAAAAAAAAATTTACAGAAGGGCACAATGGCTCACACCTGTAATCCCAGCACTTTGGGAGGCCGAGGTGGGCCGATCAGGAGATCAATACCATCCTGGCTAACTTGGTGAAACCCTGTTCTCCACTAAAAATACAAAAAATTAGCTAGGCGTGGTGGCATGCACCAGTAATCCCAGCTACTCAGGAGGCTGAGGCAGGAGAATCGCTTGAACCCGGGAGGCAGAGGTTGCAGTGAGCCGAGATCACACCACTGCACTCCAGCCTGGGCGACAGAGCAAGAGTCCGTCTCAAAAAAAAAAAAAAAAAAAAAAAAAAAACCATTTACAGCTCCTAAATGTTTACATGGTCCTCTATTGGAACCATTCTCTTTTTTTCTTGTTGTTTGTTTTGTTTTTTTGAGATGGAGTTTTGCTCTTTGTTGCCCAGGCTGGATTGCAATAGCACGATCTCTGCTCACTGCAACCTCCACCTCCCAGGTTCAAGCGATTCTCCTGCTTCAGCCTCCTGAGTAGCTGGGAATACATAAGCACCCGCCACCACGCCTGGCTATTATATTTTTAGCAGAGACGGGGTTTCGCCATGTTGGCCAGGCTGGTCTCGAACTCCTGACCTTAGGTGATCCGCCGTCCTCGGCCTCCCAAAGTGTTGGGATTACAGGCGTGAGCCACTGTGCCCGGCCTAGAAACATTCTCTTAACAATACAAGTGAATGGAGATGCTCCGAGGTTTCAAAAAAGCACCTGGGAATCCAGGGGGCAGGGGTAAGGCAGGGGACAGGAGGGAGGACTTTAAGCTGTGGGGGTGTTTGTGGGTTTTGCAATGATTGGGGGCTGCATCCAGTGGGCAGAGGCATGTGCAGACAGCAACCCCCACCCCCATCAAAAATCATCCCATTCTCGTCACAACTGCTGAATGTCTCCTCGGACTTGTAACTGAAAAATATGCCTATAATAATCAGAGCCTAGAAACTATTTTATGTATGAAACAAAGTAATTTTTGCATGGATTTAATATATGCTGAATTCTTCAGACATGTCACTTCCATGTAAATTGAGGGAGGATTGTTCTTTGATCAAAACTTCATTAAGAGTTATGCTCCATCTGAGGATCATTTTGTTGATAGCAAGACCTCAAGTGTCCCAGTCAATAACATTACACCCCCACGTCAGTCTATATCTGCAGCTACCAGATTCTCAACCACTCCTCACAAGGTGTGGGGTCGGCCAGCTTCAATAGGTCTTCTCTTATAGTGGGACCTGAGCATTTACATATTGAAAGGGATGTTTTGTTTTAAAGTATTGTCCTGGTATTTCTCCTTTATATTACAGTTAGGGCATTAAATTGATGGTTTGAACTTGTGTGTATAAGGAGGTTGTGTTTTCCATGAAATCCATTCCAACATCACAAATGGACCTGAGAGGGCTGGGAACTGCTGGCTATGCAAACCAGCAAGTGTGGACATGCAAACCAGAGAGTGTGGACAAGAAAACCAGCGAGTGTGGACAAGAAAACCAGTGAGTGTGGACATGCAAACTAGGTGTTAACATGCAAACCAGCGAGTGTGGACTTGCAAACCAGGGTGTGGACATGCAAACCAGGGTGTGGACATGCAAACCAGCCAGTGTGGACAAGAAAACCAGTGAGTGTGGACAAGAAAACCAGCGAGTGTGGACATGCAGACCACCGAGTGTGGACAAAACCAGTGAGTGTGGACGAGAAAACCAGCGAGTGTGGATATGAAAACCAGGGAGTGTGGACATGCAAACCAGCGAGTATGGACATGCAAACCAGCGAGTGTGGACATGTAAACCAGCAAACTGATGTGGAGGCAGTTTTGTGCTGGAACCTGCCTAAACTTGTTGGTAAGCAACACAGGGTGGTCTACTTAAAGTGAAATCTATACTTTAAGTCTGTTGTAATCACGTAGATAGTAGTTTTTAGTGTATTTATCAAAATAAAAAAAGGACGGGCATGGTGGCTCACGCCTGTAATCCCAGCACTTTGGAAGGGCGAGGTGGGCGGATCACGAGGTCAGGAGATCAAGACCATCCTGGCTAACATGATGAAATCCCATCTCTACTAAAAATACAAAAAAAATTAGCCGGGCATGGTGGCAGGCGCCTGTAGTCCCCGGCTACTCAGGAGGCTGAGGCAGAAGAATGGCGGAGCTCGCAGTGAGCTGAGATCGCGCCACTGCACTCCAGCCTGGGTGACAGAGCGAGACTCCGTCTCCAAAAAAAAAAAAAAGAAAAGAAAAGAAATTATGTCAAAAGATATATAAACAGGGCTATATGAGGAATCTAAACTTAAGAGATGCCAGGTCTTTGTTCTCACAGAGCTTCACGCTGGAGGGAGTGAAGTGCTGAGGTGGAGATAGAGTGGGCAGGGTACACCAGGAAAGGTATGTGGGGAGGGGCGGGTGGCAGTCAGACTTGGGAGGGTGGCCCAAGGGGAGCCACTGTGGGAAGGGAAGGCGCCCATGCACAAGGCCCCAGAAGAGAACCCGAAGGAATACCAGGCCACGGAGGCTCCCCGCAGGGCCTGAGGATCAGGCGGGAGGGTGAGGGCAGAGGGCTAGCCTGCGAGCACAGCCCACTGATGCACGTTCCCAGAGAACACAGATCTACAGTAACAGATCAGGGTGGACACACGGTTCCTCTGCCCTGCCAGGAAGCATCCAATTTGAAGACGTGGTTAAAAAAGTTGGCACTCCTACTGCAAACTTTCTTGGCAGTGCTGCTAGAAAGGAATTACCTGGATTGGTCAGCTTTTCCTCCAGCTCAGCCTGAGTTGTCACACTCTCAGACTTTGGGGAGTGGATAATCAGCACGACGGAGCCTGCACAGCTTAGCAGGCACCCCAACTTGCCCAAGATGTTGAGCTTTTCCTTCAGGAGATAGGAAGCTAAAATGGACCTTTATTGAAAAAAGAGAAATCATTAAAGTTTAAACCAAACTACCTGACCTTTCTTCTAACAGCAGATATTTTATCTAGAAAAACCATTTTCTTTTTCTTCTTTTTTTCCCTTTAAGAGACCACCTCCCACTCTGTTGCCCAGGCTGGAGTGCAGTGGTGCAATCACAGCTCACCACAAGCTTGAACTCCTGGGCTCAAGTGATCCTCCTACCTCAGCCACCGGAGTAGCTGGGACTACAGGTGCATGCCACCACACCCAGCTAATTTTTTAAAAATTTTGTGTAGAGACTGGGTCTCACTAGATTGCCCAGGCAAGTCTCAAACTCCTGGGCTCAAACGATCCTCTTGCCTTGGACTCCCAAAGTGCTGGAATTATAGGTGTGAGCCACCATGCCTGGCCAGGATTTTCACACCAATTCCATGTATAACCACTACGTAGTTAATGATACACATAATTTACACCACTATATTACTATGTCAGCACATATAAAATACACCAGAGTATAAAAAGTTTTATGACTGACCAAAAATAAAAGTAATGCTTCCTTTCTTATAAAAGGAACCAATCAAAAATACTAATATCTATGCTACATGGAAAAGTAGGGTACAAAAACTGTCAAAATAATTATAAGTAATGCATGATAAAAACAAAATAAATTAAGTGAAAAATGCACAAACAAAAGAAAAAATAAAAATGCTAATAGTAATTGCAGTAGTAGAAGTAGTATGGGGTGGCTATTTCCTCTAATACTGAAAACTTTTAAAAACTGGTCACATTATTAATGCAAAAAAATGTATTCTTCAAAAACATCTATAATCTCCAGGCTTCTAACTTGTTTCTTCTCTTATTTCCCTGTGTAATTATCAGTATACAATCTGAATTGGAACACCTTGCCCTCAGTAAGTCACAGGACTGGTCATTGTCACTTTACTCATGTCTGTGCTGAAGACGATCAGAAAACAGGAACGTCCGGGAGGAGGGCATACCAGGCTCAGGTATGGACCGGATTACTTCCTTTAATACCTATTTTAAAGATAAGGAAACTTGAGCCTCAGAAAGGGTCAGCATTGAACCTAAGGCCACAAAGCTAACAAGAGATACAAGCACGGTCATGACACACCCACAGGTCCTAAACGGCCTACTTTTCCCTTGTACCACTTCACATCCTTGTCCCTAGACAGCCTGTTCTTAAGAAGCTCCCAACAGTGTCATTGGGGAAATAAGCAACATCACTGAAAGAAACAACAAAAGACATGAATACACAACTAGATGTTAAATAGAGAAGCTCCACCGAGTAGCTGCCTGGAAAAGGAGAAACCAGAAATGCAGGGGGCTCACAGGGCAAAAAGTGGGCCTGGAACTGGCCTCGGACAACGGGTGGACTATGCCAAGATGGGAAAGGGTTGCCATGCACGAAAGTGGACAGTATGAGCCACGAGGCCAAATCATCTCTTATTCCATTGTGGAATACCAGAGGACAGTGCCATTTTCATTCATTCATTCATTCATTTATTGAGACAGAGTCTCACTCTGTGACCCAGGCTGGAGTGCAGTGGAGCAGTCTCGACTCACTGCAACCTCTGCCTCCCGGGTTCAAGCAATTCTCCTGCCTCAGCCTCCCGAGTAGCTGGGATTACAGATGCCCGCCACCATGCCCTGGGGGATTTTTGTATTTTTAGTAAGGACGGGGTTTCACCATGTTGGCCAGGCTGGTCTCAAACTCCTGACCTCAAGTGATTCACCCGCCTCGCCTCCCAAAGTGCTGGGATTATAGGCATGAGCCACTGCGCCTGGCTGACAGTGCCATTTTTAAATTGGGTTATCTGACTTTTTACTGATGCACTGTAAGAGTTTCTGTTTCGTTTTCTTTTGTTGAGACAGAGTTTCCCTCTTGGTGCCCAGGCTGGAGTGCAATGGCGCAATCTCGGCTCAATGGAACCTCCACCTCCTGAGGTCAAACAATTCTCCTGCCTCAGCCTCCCAAGTAGCTGGGATTACAGGCATGTGCCACCACACCAGGCTAATTTTTTGTATTTAGTAGAGACGGAGTTTTACCATGTTGGCCAGGCTGGTCTCGAACTCCTGATCTCATGATCCACCCGCCTCGGCCTCCCAAAGTGCTGGGATTACAGGCGTGAGCCACCACGACCGGCAAGAGTTTTTATGTGTTCTAACTACAAGTCCCTTATCAGATATATACTTTGAAATTTTTTCTCCCACGAGTTTTCAATTCATTGATGGCATCCTTTTAAGCAGAAAGGTTTTTAATTTTGATGACATCGAATTTATCTATTTTCCTTCTGTTGTTTGTGCCCTTCGTGATCCACCTGCCTGGGCCTCCCAAAGTGTGGGAATTGAAGGCATAAGCCACTGTGCCTGGCCAGTTAAATTTATTCTTAAGTATTTCATCATTTTGGTGCTACTGCATATGAAATTGCTTTCTTAATTTCATTTTTGGTTTGCTCACTGCTACTGTATATAGATGCAATTTTTTTTTTTTTTCTTTGAGACACAGTCTCGCTCTGTCACTCAGGCTGAAGTGCAGTGGCACGATCTCAGCTCACTGCAAGCTCCGCCTCCCGGGTTCACGCCATTCTCCTGCCTCAGCCTCCCGAGTAGCTGGGACTACAGGTGCCTGCCACTACGCCCGGCTAATTTTTTGTATTTCTTTTAGTAGAGATGGGGTTTCACCGTGTTAGCCAGGATGGTCTTGATCTCCTGACCTCGTGATCCACCCACCTCAGCCTCCCAAAGTGCTGGGATTACAGGCATCAGCCACTGTGCCCAGCCGTAATTTTTTTTTTTTTTTTTGAGACGGAGTTTCGCTTTTGTTGCCCAGGCTGGAGTGCAATGGCCCGATCTCGGCTCACTGCAACCTCTGCCTACTGGGTTCAAGCGATTCTCCTGCCTCAGCCTCCCGAGTGGCTGGGATTACAGGCATGCGCCACCATGCTTGGCTAATTTTGTATTTTTATGAGAGACGGGGTTTCACCACGTTGGTCAGGCTGATCTCGAACTCCTTACCTCAGGTGATCCACCCACCTCAGCCTCCCAAAGTGCTGGGATTACAGGCCTGAGCCACTGCGCCTGGCAGATGTAATTTTTTTTTTTTTTTTTTTTTTTTGAGACAGAGTCTCACTCTGTTGCCTGGGCTGGAGTGCAGTGGCACAATCTCGGCTCACTGTAACCTCTACCTCCTGGGTTTAAGCAATTCTCCTGCCTCAGCCTCCTGAGTAGCTGGGACTACAGGCATGTGCCACCACACCTGGCTGATTTTTTTTTGTATTTTTGTAGAGATGGGGTTTCACCATGTTGGCCAGGCTGGTCTCTAACTCCTGACCTCAGGTGATCTTCCCGTCTCAGCCTCCCAGAGTGCTGGGATTACAGGAGTGAGCCACTACGCCCGGCCTCAGATGTAATTTTTATATAGTGATCTTGTGTCCATCGACCTTGCTAAACTTATTAGTTCTAATAATTTCTTAGTGATTCTTTAGGACTCTCTATATAAGATCAGGTCCTCTGCTGGGTGTGGTGGCTCATGCCTGTAATCCCAGCACTTTGGGAGGCCAAAGTGGGTGGATCACCTAAAGTCAGGAGTTCAAGACTAGCCTAGCCAACATGGCAAAACCCCATCTCTACTAAAAATACAAAAATTAGCTGGGCGTGGTGGTGGGCACCTGTAATCCAAGCTCCTCGGAGGCTGAGGCAGGAGAATCACTTGAACCCAGGAGGCCGAGGTTGCAGTGAGCCGACAGCACACCACTGCACTCCAGCCTGGGTGACAGAGTGAGACTCCATCTGAAAAAAAAAAAAAAAAAAAAAAAGGCTGGGTGCGGTGGCTCACACCTGTAATCCCAGCACTTTGGGAGGCCGAGGCAGGCAGACCACAAGGTCAGGAAATCAAGACCATCCTGGCTAACATGGTGAAACCCCGTCTCTACTAAAAATACAAAAATTAGCTGGGCATGGTGGTACGCGCCTGTAGTCCCAGCTACTCGGGAGGCTGAGGAAGGAGAATCACTTGAACCCGGGAGGTGGAGGTTGCAGTGAGCCAAGATCACACAACTGAACTCTAGCCTGGTGACAGAGTGAGACTCTGTCTCAAAAAAAAAAAAAAAAAAAAAAAAAAAAATCAGGTCTTCTGCCAATAAAGGCAATTAAATTCTTCCTTTCCTTTCCAATATGGATGCCTTTTAATTTGTTTGCTTACCTAATTGCTGTGGCTATAACATCCAGTACAATGATGAATAGATGAGGTGAAAGTAGGCAGCTTATTTTCTTCCTGATCTTAAGGGGAAAACATCAACCCTTGTGCCATTAAGTATGATGTTAGCTGGGGTACTTTGACAGAGGCCCTTTGTCAGTTTAGGAAGTTATTTTCTATGCCTAGCATATTGAGAGTTTTCGTCATGAAAGAGTATTGAATTGTACCACATAATTTTTGTGTGTCTTTTGAGATGATCACATGGTGATTATTCTATTGCTGTGGTATATTACACTAATTTATTTTCAATGCTAAATCTACTTTGCATTTCTGGGATAAATCCCACTTGTATAATCCTTTTTATATATTGCTGGATCCAACTGGTTAGTATTTTGTTCAAAATTTCTCCATCTATATTCATAAGAGAATTAGTTCATAGTTGTTTTTTTAATGAGCTTTATCTTTTCTTTGTTTTTTTGGGGGGCGGGGGAGGGACAGAGTTTTGCTCTGTCACCCAGGCTGGAGCAGTGGTTCAATGTCAATTCACTGCAATCTCTGCCCCTCAGCCACCCAAGTAGCTGGGATTACAGGTGTGTGCCACCACACCTGGATAATTTTTGTATTTTTAGTAGAGACAGGGTTTTGCCATGCTGGCCAGGCTGGTCTCCCTGGGTTCAAATGATCCACCTGCCTTGGCCTCCCAAAGTGCTGGGATTACAAGCATGAATCACACTGCACCTGGCCTAGATCTTGTACTAGAAGAAAAATAACGGTATAAAAGATAATGACATAAAATAATGGCATAACAGGTCAATTGTCAGAATTGGAATATGGAGGTTGATTTGATACATGTATCATAACAAGGTTAAATTTATCGAAATTGATCACTGTACTGTGGTTATTTGGAGAGAATCTGAATATCTCTACTCTTAGAAAATACTAATTGATGTGTTCAGGGGTAAAGAATCATAACTTATGCTAAAATGGATTTTTTTTTAAAAACAGGAAAAAAAAATCACATCATATTCATATAGAACAGTGCTTCTTGACCAGGGGTGGTTTGCCCCGCAGGGGACATCTGCCAGTGTCTGGAGACATTTTGGGGAGGTTGAGTGCTACTGGCATCTGGGAGGTGAAGGCCAGGATGCTGCTAAACACCTCACAATGCACAGAATGGCTCCCTCAACAAAGAGTTATCTGGCTTCAAGCATCAACAGTGCTGAGACTGAGATACCCAGATACAGAGAAAGTGTATGATGAGGCAAGTGGGTAAGATGTTAGCAGCAGGTGTGTCTGGGTAAGGGGAGATGGACATTGCTTTGGTTATACTTAATCCTGTTTCCTTTCTGTAATTTGAAAATATTTCCCAAAAGTTTTTTAAACCTCTTTCTAAACACAGCATGTACAGATGATTACTTTATCATACATTACACTATTACAGAAAGAAATGAACCTATTTGGGGGCTCTCTATTCTATTCACTGCTACACAGACTTATTTTTCCAGTGCCACATTCTTTTCATTTCTGTTTCTATGTAATTCCAGCAACCCCATCCCATTATCAAGAACAGAACTGCTTTTAAAATATACATATATACATACATATTGGCCAGGCGTGGTGGCTCAGGCCTGTAATCCCAGCACTCTGGGAGGACGGCGGGCGGATCACGAGGTCAGGAGATCAAGACCATCCCAGCCAACACGGTCAAACCCCGTCTCTACTAAAAATACAAAAAAAATTAGCCGGGCATGAACCCAGCAGGTAGAGCTTGCAGTGAGCCGAGATCGTGCCACTGCACTCCAGCCTGGGCGACAGAGCGAGACTCCGTCTCAAAAAAAAAAACAAAAAAAAAACTCATATATACATACATATATGCACACTTTGATAATCATCTTTGATTGTTTTTTTCCAAATTAATTTTAGTTTTATTCTGTTTAAAAGAAAAGGTCTTACTGGGATTCCAAGTTGAAGACAGGCTTTTTATCCAGAACACCATCTGACATGGTTCCTACAGTGAGTAACACCTGCAGATGTGGAGCAGTGAACATTTCTGGTGAAGTGACTTAATCATCAAAGTGCATGAGAACAGTTCTAAGGAAATTAACTGAGCAAAACATTTTAGTATATGTGCATTCAATGTGCCACGTGCCAAGATCACCAGGTCAGGTTGTTTATCTGCCTGATTATCTTTCAGGGGGACGGGTCACAGAAGCTGGAGGAGTGTTTCCCAAAGTGAGAACACTCTTGCCCTCCCAGCGCCTCAGAGCCATCCGAAACACAAAGGGACACCAAGCCACACATGATAGCAGTGTATGTGTTCACGAGAAAAATGTGCCACACACACATTCTCAAGGCGTCGCATGTGAAAAACATGGTATTTAGGTCACAGAACCTTAATGCCTACGTGACTCTAAGGTGTAAACTTCAATACACCCATCATGGACACACTTCTCTGCAAGGATTTGGGCATCTGTCTGGAATACAGCAGAAAACCAATGTATCCATGAGTTAGAAACTTGGATTTTATTTCTCTTCTACCCTATTTTTATTTCTAATGATTTCTTCAAAGACAAATCAGAATATAAATAGGTTCACACGAGGATATATGTTATTTAATAAGTATCTCATCAATCATTTTCGCAGTAAGTAAACAGAGAGTCCAGCTGCAATGTTTGATGGCTTGCAGCCCTCCAGTTCCCATTTCCCCCCTTTCCCCTTTGCCCCACAACTGGGCAACCTTATAGGAAGCTTACTCATGTGTATCAATTAAAAAGATGATTTAAAATGGAGAAATAAAATTAAAAAAATAAATAAAATGAAATTAAAATTTAAAAAGAAGCCTGCGCACACACTGGGTCCCTGGAGTCCTCAGTTCCCAGAGTCCTCAGTCCCTTGGCATGGGCAAAAACTTCACTCCATGCCAGCCCGGCCTAAGCATGCAAACCGCCCCCCAGCCCACCCCACCACCTAACTACAATAAAAATCCAAAGGTCCCCCTCACTCGTCTCACTCAGAACCAAACCCGGGACCTTCTCCTAAGAAAATCCATGTGCTATTGACTGCGTCAGTCATAAATCCTATTTCACATCCATTGATGCCGTGTATTATTCATCCCAACCTCTGTAATTTCCTGGGCTGAGGTGGGGACTGTCCGGCATCCAGCAAGGAATGCTAAGCACCCCAATAAAACACCAACTCAGTCATTTTGCTTAATGAGTTCTCAGAATAACTTGCCAAGGTGTCAGAAGACTCTCTAGTCTCTAAGATGTACTCCAGGACAACGACCAGGAGAATGAGAGCATCAGATTCACTGATAAGCAGGAAAAATGAGTGACAGTTTCAAATATACTAAATATCTAAGAAAAGGGTTAATACTACCCAGAACTACATTTGAAGGGATAAAATTAAACGATATAGAGTAGAATACTGAAGATCTATCTTCTTTTTTTTTTTTAAGGCAGAGTCTCGCTCTGTCTCCCAGGCTGGAGTGCTGTGGTGCCATCTCAACTCACTGCAACCTCTGCCCCCCAGGTTCAAGCAATTCTTGTGTCTCACCCTCCCGAGTAGCTAGGACTACAGGTGGTCGCCACCATGTCCAGCTAATTTTTCATATTGTTAGTAGAGACAGGGTTTCACCATGTTGGCCAGGCTGGTCTTGAACTCGTGACCTCAAATAATTCACCCTCCTTGGCCTCCCAAAGTGCTGGGATTACAGGCGTAAGCCACCATGCCCGGCCTGAAGATCTATCTTCTATTACAATTTTGCTCTTATTACTTTAACAGAAACATTTAAAATGAAAAGTTGTTATATCTACACTACACATTAAATACCAAACACAATCTTGGCTCTCACCCGAACGGTACTCCAAGGGCGCCCAGGGGGGTTACCAGGACCGTGGGGACCGCCGTGTAAGCCAGGAAGTTTCCAATCTGGCCAACAGCCACTGTCAAGAAAATCACAAGGATACTACTTGCAATTACAGAGCTCTCTTCCAGCACTGATCACAGTTGAATTACGCTAGGCTCTGCCCTGAAAGGGCTACTTCATTCACATTACTTGTGAAGAATCACATCTGGGGTGTCATCTGCACATTTAAGGGGTCAGGGGTCAGGAACCACACCTTCACTGGTCCCATCAGTCGGGTGAGTAGGTTCAGCCCTCCATGGAAATGCCGAACCTAACCAGCAGTGACTGAAATGGGCGCAGCACTGGGCATATCTCCGCTCTCTTAACACATCCTTGTTTTCACACAAATCAGGCAGAACTTCCTGTGCACCCTCTAGTGGCCTGGGACCTACTCTGGCATAGGCAGCTGGCCACGGTGACAGGCCACTGGCATAGCAAGAGGATACAGTACTGCCGCACAAGACTGCAGCAGGGACATCACCCAGATGGAGCTTAAAGAGGAGCTCTTCAAGGAACAGAATTGGTATTGCCACGTAATGTCGTATTAAAAGACAAATGTGACAAACAAAGTACATGATGTTTCTTTTTTTTCTTTTGAGACAGAGTCTCACTCTGTCAGCCAGGCTGGAGTGCACTGGCGTGATCTTGGCTCACTGCAGCCTCCACCTCCCAGGCTCAAGCAATCCTCCCACCTCAGCCTCCAAATAGCTTTGAAAACAGGTGCATCCCACCATGCCCAGGTAATTTTTGTTTTTGTACAGACAGGGTTTTGCCATGTTTCCCAGGCTGGTCTTGAACTCCTGGGCTCAAACAATCCACCTGTCTCAGCCTCCCAAAGTGCTGGGATTACAGGCGTGAGCCACCATGCCTGGCCAAACATAATATTTCTGAATTTCAAAGACAATTGTCCTTTATAATACATTTAGAGTTCTGAACTCTAATATTATTATTTATCTTTACATTATAGCACATGACCTGATCTTTGACTCATGAAATTCTCTGTTAAACCAACTGTGCTGAGAAAAACAAGGCAGCCTAACATGGAATTTCACCAAATGCCAACAGCCCGACTACATGAGTAAGCAGGAGCTGTTTTAATTTCTTCGGGCCCAGGACAGATCAGCCTGGACTGAATTCACGGCTAATCGTGGGCAGCAGGGGCCTCCACCAGCTCCTAACTTGTCCTTCTGCACTCTCATCCTGGGAGGAAGGGGAGCAGGGAGAGTGCCCTGGGGAGGCAGGGACATCCGAACTGAAAGGCACGCTTAGGGCCTGGGGAGAGGCCACGCGACACCCTCTTCCAAAGAACAGAGCCACCCTAGCCCAGCCACTCCAGCCCTGCCCAGACCAGTGATGGATTCTAAGAAAGGAAAAGACCAGACTTCGCCACACAGGCTACTTACTTGCGATTGTGCCAGCCCACCACACAATGTCTGTTAAATAGGAAGTACCTATAAAAAATGAGATAAAAAATGTCAGAAAAGTGGGTTTACCAGCTACGTATATCAGGAAGAGGTTTACAAGCGAGAAACTTTTGACATGAAAACTAAAATTGAAAAGAATGAATGTCATACTGTTTATTCACCCTAAAGAGAATCTTTCATCTATAAATGGCAGCATTAGAGACCACCGAAAGTGGCAAAGTCAAGATATTTTTTGCAACCAACACAGGCTGACCCAAATAAGGAAATGAGATCTTTATACATCAGTTTTCTTTCACCCAACAAGCTACCACAAAGATATTCCTTTGATGGAGTTTTATTTTTATCTCAAAAGGGTTTGAGTCTTTAAAGTCCAACTCTCTCATGCATTTACTGTAGTCCATTTATATAAGAATTTTATTATCATAGGGTTTGACTTCCTGCTTAAACAAGTCACTCAATTTTCATTATTTATAACTCTTCTGATACGACTCTTCTTTCAGCCATGCGGGAACCACATCCTTACACTCACCTGATGCTCTGACATTTGACCTGAGACTTGCCGGCATCCTCTCAGGTTACCCCACCCATCCCACGCAGGGCAGGCGGAGCCCCAGCACCTTCCTCCCTCCCCCTGCCTCTTGACAGGTGTGTATGGTGAGAGGTCTCCCAACCTTTGAGACAGGTTTGTCCTTCAGATATGGCAAAATGCTCCTAAGCACTTTTTTTTTTGAGGCAGAGTTTCACTCTTGTTGCCCAGGCTGGAGTGCAATGGCGCGATGTCGGCTCACCGCAACCTCCGCCTCCTCCCAGGTTCAAGCGATTCTCCTGCCTCACCCTCCCTAGTAGCTGGGATTACAGGCATGTGCCACCATGCCCAGCTAATTTTGTATTTTTTTTTAGTAGAGACGAGGTTTCTCCACGTTGGTCAGGCTGATCTTGAACTCCCGATCTCAGGTGATCCGCCCACCTCGGCCTCCCAAAATGCTGGGATTACAGGTGTGAGCCACCGCGCCTGGCCTTTTTTTTTTTTTCAGACAGAGTCTCACTCTGTCACCCAGGCTGGAATGCACTGGTGCGATGTTGACTCACTGAAACCTCCACTTTCCGGGTTCAAACAATTCTCCCGTCTCAGCCTCCCGAGTAGCTGAGACTACAGGAGCATGCCACCACACCTGGCTAATTTTTGAATTTTTAGTAGAGACGGGGTTTCACCAAATTGGTCAGGCTGGTCTCGAACTCCTGACCTCAGGTGATCCGCCTGCCTCAGACTCCCAAACTGCTGGATTACAGGTGTGCAGCACGCCTGGCCTGCTAAGCATTTTTTGAGGAGATTTTTTGTTGTTAACCACAGATTACAGTAATGAATTCTTTTTTCCTTTTCCTTTTTTTGAGATGGAGTATCACTCTGTCGCTGAGGCTGGAGTGCAGTGGCACGATCTCAGCTGACTACAACCTCTGCCTCCTGGGTTCAAGCAATTCTCATGCTTCAGCCTCCCAAGTAGCTGGGATTACAGGCGTGCACCACCACGTGCGGCTAATTTTTGTATTTTTAGTAGAGAGGGGGTTTTGCTATATTGGCCAGGCTGGTCTTCAATTCCTGGCTCCAAGTGATCCACCCACCTCAGCCTCCCAAAGTGCTGTGATTACAGGAGTGAATCACCGTGCCCAGCCACAGTAACTAATTCTAATTGTTTTTATTCTCAGTAGGAAAACCACAATTTGGTATAAGACACATAGCCTGCTAGCCTGCTTAATGGAGCAGCAGAGCTACAAGTATTAGAAAAAGTACTTACAAAATGAAATGGGGGCTGGGCCCGGCGGCTCACACCTGTAATGCCAGCATTTTGGAAGCCTGAGGCAGGATGATCACTTGAGCCTAGGAGTTCAAGGTCAGCCTGGGCAACATAGCAAGACTCTATCTCTACAAAAAATTTAAAAATTAGCTGGGTGTGGTGGTGCATGCCTGTGGTCCCAGCTATTCAGGAGGCTGAGACAGAAGAATCGCTTGAGCCCAGGAGGATGAGGCTGCAGTTAGCCATGATCATGCCACTTCATTCCAGCCTGGGTGATAGAGTGAGACACTGTCTCAAAAAAAAGAATATTGCTATTTGATCACATCACAGTAAAAACTGATTTAGGCAAGAATCATTAACGGATACTAAAACAAGCGAATGAAAATTTACTGAGTCACCTCCATGGGTTTTTCTTATTAATTATGAACAGAAAAAGTTATCTTTATAGATAAGCCTGATGGACACTGGCTTAGCCAAGTGGTCAAAGTCCCCAGCATCAGTTGTGCCACCTGCCTGCTGTGGCTGTCTCCCAGCCCTGAGCCACGCCCTACCTCTGCTGCCAGGCTCCACTGGAGAAGACAGCCTGGCACCACTGGGGCTCCTGTCTGGTGTCCCTCTCAGTGTATCTAATACAAACAGGACCCAGGGTGTCCTATGAAGCAGAAAGTTTAGCGAAGCTTAAGAATGTCCCATGGTGGGCACTGTAGGAGAGTCAGCTATTAATACAGAATCAATGTTAGATTTCTAAATGTGCTAATCAAAGTGGCTATCCCAAAATGCATGCCGAATACTTGAGTGAAAGGTCATCAGGTCCAGAATACTAGTGTGAAAAGTCTGTGGACCAGTTTCCCAACAAAACCACCATAACTAATAAATAAAGTACTTAACAAAGTGGGCCGGGTGCAGTGGCTCATGCCTGTAATCCCAGCACTTTGCGAGGCCGAAGTTGGTGGATCACAAGGTCAGGAGACCGAGACCATCCCGGCTAACACAGTGAAACCCCGTCTCTACTAAAAAAAATACAAAAAAAAATTAGCTGGGCATGGTGGTGGGCGCCTGTAGTCCCAGCTATTTGGGAGGCTGAGGCAGGAAAATGGCATGAACCTGGGAGGCAGAGCTTGCAGTAAGCCGAGATTGTGCCACTGCACTCCAGCCTGGGCAACAGAGAGAGACTCCATCACACACACACACACACACACAAGTGAATTTAAACTCTGTGGAAATTATCCTAAGGGCATACAGAAAATATCTCCTTTTTCATTCCTGATTTTAGTAATTTGATTCTTCTTTTTTGCTTGGTCAGTCTAGCTAAAGGTTTGTCAATTTCATTGTTCTTTTCAAAGAACCAACTTTTGATTTTGTTTTTATTGGGTTTTTAGATTTTTTTTTTCTTTTTGAGACAGGGTCTCACTCTGTTGCCCAGGCTGGGGTGTAGTGGCATGGTCTCTCAGTTCACTGCAACCTCCATCTCCCAGGTTCAAGTGATTCTCCTGCCTCAGCCTCCCAAGTAGCTGGGATTACAGGCGTGGGCCACCACATCCAGCTGTCCTTTTATTGTAATGAACATGGTTTGGTCAGGACGTTTTGTGAAGTCATGGGATTCCTGCTACAGCAGCTGGACTGTGTGACCCTCCTACAGTGAAAGCTGGTCAAGGATGACAGTGACCAGTGCAATGAGGCCCATAGGCACCCCCCTTTCACTGCTATGGTTATCCCAACATTGATCATCACATAGTATATGTTTTTGGCAGTTTATAAAATGTCAAAAGTCACAAAATGAGGAGGAACCTGGAATACCAGGTACACAGGAATGGCAAAGTGAACAAAATGGTTTTTGTTCTTTTCCCAAAGGGTCCAGTTCAGTTCCAAGCATTTCAGGCCCTGCAACTTGTACTCTCCATCAAGAGCCTGGATTTGCACAAATCAAAAGGTGTATAGGTCACCCTCACCTTTTAAACCAGTATTAGGCAAAATTTTTCTGCATCCACAGACATTAAGCAAGTCAGGTTTTTCTCCATCCAGGTACCTGTCCCATACCCCTACCCATAAACAAAAGTGAAGCTCCTGCACATGGTCCCTGAGAGCCTCGGTCCAGGGGTGTCCCCTGTTCTGCCCTGCAGGAAGTGCATGGCTGTGTGCCCAGCTTCCTCACTGAGTTGGCTGCTCCATTTTCCCTCCTCCTTCTTTTGCCAGGAGCTCCTAGGAGTCTGCATTCCATATTAGCCCTTGGCCCGTCATACAGATATCTGTGAGGATATCTAAAACAACTGGGTTTCTTCACAGTTTCACCCTAAGCATTGCTGCCCCTAAGCACTGTTGTTCCGAAAGCTCATTAGCCAGCACTCTCAGTAGGTATCTATGCCCAAGCTTCTCCTCTTCCCAGTTGATGACGGTCCTCTATTAATCTGCAGGTCCTCCGGCCTCAGCAACAACAGGGAGCTGCAGCACTGAAGGATGCAGAGGATGCTGTTTGTCTTGCCACACTCACGTCTCCTCCCCCACTCCTAGGTGTGGGCTGCAGAGGATATGATCGCTAAGTTCCATTGGTTTTCCTCTCATTGGAAACCCTGGGTGCTGAGAGTTGCATAGCTGTTTATAACAGCTAAACTATAAAACAAAGAAGTGTTTGTGCAAACACAAAAGAGCCTTGCCAGGATGACAGTATCAACTGACAGTGATGCTGTCCAACCAGGGGCATGTGGCTTTAGACCTTCCATTTAGTTATAAATGTGTCGGAAATGTCCTTAAAATACAGCTTTAGGCCGGGCGCGGTGGCTCACGCCTGTAATCCCGGCACTTTGGGAGGCCGAGGCGGGCGGATCACAAGGTCAGGAGATCAAGACCATCCTGGCTAACACGGTGAAACCCCGTCTCTGCTAAAAATACAAAAAATTAGCTGGGCGTGGTGGCGGGCGCCTGTAGTCCCAGCTATTCGGGAGGCTGAGGCAGGAGAATGGTGTGAACCCAGAAGGCGGAGCTTGCAGTGAGCCGAGATCGCGCCACTGCACTCCAGCCTGGGCGACAGAGTGAGACTCCATCCCAAAATAAATAAATAAATAAGTAAAAAAAAATAAATAAAATACAGCTTTATAGTATAAAAATATAGATGGGCATCCAATGTATTTACCTTCTAATTATTCCACAAAAAGATTGCTTCCACTTATGTGTGCTTCTAACATCAACAACAGAAGTTGCTGATAAAAGCCAAGCAAGAGTGGATAACTAGTTCTTTGTAAATTAATGTATAAAAAAGATGTAACATAGTTTTTACAGATTTTTCTTTTTCTTTTTCTTTTTGAGACAGAGTCTCACTCTCTTGCCCAGGCTGGAGTGCACTGGTGTGATCTCTGCTCACTGCAACCTCTGACTCCTGGGTTCAAACAGTTCTCCTGCCTCAGCCTCCTGAGTAGCTGGCATTACAGGCTGCGCCACCACACCCAGCTAATTTTTGTATTTTTAGTAGAGACAGGGTTTCACCATATTGGTCAGGATGGTCTTGTACTCCTGACCTCAGGTGATCCGCTCACCTCGGCCTCCCAAAGTGCTGGGATTACAGGCGTGAGCCACCGCGCCCGGTCCTACAGAGTTCTCTAAGAAGGACTAAGAATAAATAAATATTCTTTCCTGACACCGGCACAGCCAGAGGAAGGCATTAACTGCCTTCTGAAACATTAACTGAGCACTGCTGTGCACCAACTTAACTCATGGACTTAATATT
This sequence comes from Homo sapiens, assembly GCF_000001405.40. Taxonomy (NCBI): domain Eukaryota; kingdom Metazoa; phylum Chordata; class Mammalia; order Primates; family Hominidae; genus Homo; species Homo sapiens. The sequence goes on along the minus strand of NC_000015.10, from coordinate 22,805,264 downwards.
TGAAGTTCTTTTGCCTGTTGGTTATTAGATATGCAGAACTTATTTTTCCTAAGAAATAGTTTGGCAATTATGGAAAAAAGACAAAGTTTTATGACATATACTATCTAATTTTAAGATTTACCATAGGCTGGGCATGGTGGCTCACGCCTGTAATCCCAGCACTTTGGGAGGCTGAGGCAGGTGGATCATGAGGTCAGGAGATTGAGACCATCCTGGCTAACACAGTGAAATCCTATCTCTACTAAAAATGCAAAAAATTAGCCAGGCATGGTGGCAGGTGCCTGTAGTCCCAGCTACTCACTCGGGAGGCTGAGGCAGGAGAATGGTGTGAACCCAGGAGGCGGAGCTTGCAGTGAGCCAAGATTGCGCCACTGCACTCCAGCCTGGGCGACAGAGCGGACTCCGTCTTAAAAAAAAAAAAATTTACTATAAAACTATATAATCAAGACAGTATGGTACTGGCATAAGGATAGACAAACACAACGGAATAGAGTTCAGAAATCGGTCCATACATGTACAGCCAGATCACAGACTGAATGAAGCACCAGTACAATTCAATGGAAAAGTCTCCAACAAATGGTGCTGGACCAACTGGATGTTGTAGAGAAAACGTTGAAGTTTAATTCATGCCTCAGACCATCCTGTAACTCAACGTGGCTTACGGACCTAACGCTAAACACTAAAGCTGTGAAGCTCTAAGAACACACAAGAAGATGCCATTGTGACCTGAGGAGAGACAAAGATTTCTCAGGCAGAAATCAAAAGCACCGACCAGATAGGAAAAAAACAGACAAATTAGACTTCAACAAAACTAAACATTCGTGCTCCTCAAGAGGAACTTTTAGGCCAGGCGCAGTGGCTCATGACTGTAATCCTAGCACTTTAGGAGGCCGGGGCGGGTGGATCACGAGGTCAGGAGTTCAAGACCAGCCTGGCCAAGATGGTGAAACCCTTTCTCTACTAAAAATACAAAAATTAGCCGGGCCCAGCTGGGTGCGGTGGCTCACACCTGTAATCCTTGCACTTTGGGAGGCTGAGGTGGGTGAATCACCTGGGGTCAGGGGTTCGACACCAGCCTGGCCAACATGATGAAACCCCGTCTCTACTAAAAATTTAAAAAATTAGCTGGATGTGGTGGTTCATGCCTGTAATCCCAGCTACTCAGGACGCTGACGCAGGAGAATCGCTCGAACTAGGGAGGCAGAGGTTGCAGTGAGCCAAGATCACGCCACTGCATTCCAGCCTGGGCAACAGAGTGAGACCCTGTCTCAAAAAAACAAAAACAAGGCCGGGCACGGTGGCTCACGCCTGTGATCCCAGCACTTTCGGAGGCCGAGGCGGGCAGATCACAAGGTCAGGAGCTCGAGATCATTCTGGCTAACACAGTGAAACCCCGTCTCTACTAAAAATACAAAAAATTAGCCGGGCGTGGTGGCGGGTGCCTGTAGTCCCAGCTACTCGGGAGCGTGAGGCAGGAGAATGGCATGAACTTGGGAGGCAGAGTCTGCAGTGAGCTGAGATCACGCCACTACACTCCAGCCTGGGCGACAGAGCAAGACTCTGTCTCAAAAAAAAAAAAAAAAAAAAAATTAGCCGGGCCCGGTAGCAGGTGCCTGTAATCCCAGCTACTCAGGAGGCTGAGGCAGGAGAATCACTTGAACCAGGGGGGCAGAGGTTGCAGTGAGCCAAGATCACGCCACTGCACTCCAGCCTACGCAACAGAGTGAGACTCCGTCTCAAAAAAAAAAAAAAAAAAAAAAAGGCACTTTTAAGAAAATGAAAAGGCAAGCCACAGAGAAAATATTTCCAATCCCTGTATCTGACAAAAACTTGTATCCAGATATATAACATATATCTGTATGGTTAATATATGCGTATATATGTGTGAGTATATATATACATACGTAATATATACATATACACACACACACTCTTACCAGTCAATAATACGGTAGAACCCAGCCAGGCGTGGTGGCTCATGCCTATAATCCCAGCACTTTGGGAACCCAGCCAGATGTGGTGGCTCATGCCTATAATCCCAGCACTTTGGGAGGCCGAGGTGAGTGGATCACCCGCGGTCAGGAGTTTGAGACCAGCCTGGCCAACATAGTGAAATCCCATCTCTACTAAAAATACAAAACTTAGCCAGGCATGGTGACAGCTGCCTATAATCCCAGCTACTGGAGAGGCTGAGGCAGGAGAATCGCTTGAACCCGGTAGGCAGAGGTTACAGTGAGCCAAGATCGCACCACTGCACTCCAGCATGGGCGACAGAGCAAGAGTCTCTGTCACCACCCACCCAAAAAAAAAAAAGTTCATCAACAGGAGAATGGATATGTAAACTGGTATACTCAAACAACACAACACTACTCAGCAATAATAAGGAACATATTGCTGATACCCACATCACGATGAATCTTCAAACTATGTCCAGCAAAAGCAGACGTAAGAGAATACATACTATATAATTCCATTTATATGAAGCATGGGAACAGGCAAAATTAATTCAACCTATGCAGATGGGCATCAGAAGAGTAGGCACCTTGGTATGGGGGATGAGGCACCAGGGAACTTTCTAGGGTGGCAGCAACAATCAATTTCTTCACTGGGCTGTTGGTTACACAGGCATATTCATTTGTCAAAACTCATCAAACTGTACCTTTAAGATCTGTGCAGCTTATTCTATGCAATTATACCCCAATACTTAAACAAGAAATAGTTGATAAATGACAGTTAAATTTCTTGGTGGTGAGGATTTCACAGGTAGCACACTTATTCGTGCACTCATGGAGGTGTGTACATTAAACATGCACAGCTTTTTATATATTAATCATACCCCAATAAAGTGGTTTAAATTTTTTTTTTTTTTTTTTGAGACAGAGTCTCACTCTGTCGCCCAGGTTGAAGGGCAGTGGCGTGATCTCGGCTCACCACAACCTCCACTTCCCGGGTTCAAGTGCTTTTCCTGCCTTAGTCTCTCAAGTAGCTGTGATTACAGGCATGTGCCACCACGCCTGGCTAATTTTTGTATTTTTAGTAGAGACAGGGTTTCACCATGTTGGTCAGGCTGGTCTCGAACTCCTGACCTCGTGATCTGCCTGCCTCGGCCTCCCAAAGTGCTGGGATTACGGGCGTGAGCCACCGTGCCCGACCCTTAATTTTTTTAATTTAAAAAGTTAAGTTTCTGGGTTAGCCCACACAATGCTGACCCTAATACAACTAACCACTGTAATAAAGTTTCTTGCAGTTTCTATGGGAAATGTCATTCCCTGTTTCAGATGGAAATTAAGAGTACAGCACATATTAACACATGCTTCTTCCTCTCCATCCTCCCTCCAGGGAAGCTCAGTGCAGTATCTCTATTCTATTTCTTTATTCCATCTATCAAATATTTACTGAGAATCATCAGTGTACACAGTCCTCAGTGAATACAAACACATAAAAAGTCACAGCCAGGCGCAGTGGCTCACGCCTGTAATCCTAACACTTTGGGAGGCCAAGGCATATGGATCACAAGGTCAGGAGTTCGAGACCAGCCTGGCCAATATGGTGAAACCCCGTCTCTACTAAAAATACAAAAATTAGCTGGGCGCGGTGGCGGGTGCCTGTAGTCCTAGCTACTCGGGAGGCTGAGGCAGGAGAACTGCTTGAACCCCGGGAGGTGGAAGTTGCAGTGAGCCGAGATCATGCCACTGCACTCCAGCCTGGGTGACAGAGCAAGACTCTGTCTCTCAAAAAAAAAAAAAAAAAAAAAAAAGTCGCTAGAAGTGTTGTCTGCCCCTACAGAGCACCCTCTTCCTCTCTGCCTTAACTAAAGGCAATCTCTCTCATCCTTTCCCCCACCACAGTGATCAACACTGCCCCCACGCACCCTGAGGCCTGAGAAGCCAAGCTGGCCGACTCCTTGATACATGACGGGTAGATGTCAAGTATTATACCTGTACTAGCGTGCTCTGCTGATGTGAACAGAAAAATCTAGGATAATGAGCTCTGTCATGTGCACTGGTAAGGAACTGGAAATGTCCATGCCCTGTAAAAGTAGAACGGTAACATTCATGCAGCCCTGAATATGTTTGCAAAGAACATCTAACAGGGGGACAAGCTCACGACAGACTGAACACAACCACAGGACATAAACTGACATACATGGGGTGGGCTCAGTGTATACTGCCTCTTTTTTTTTTTTTCTTGAGCTGGAGTTTTACTCTTGTCACCCAAGCTGGAGTGCAGTGGCATGATCTCGGCTCCCTGCAACCTCAGCCTCCCGAGTAGCTGGGACTACAGGCATGCGACATCACACCAGGCTAATTTTTTTTTTTTCTTTTTTTTTTTTTGAGACGGAGTCTCGCACTGTCGCCCAGGCTGGAGTGCAGTGGCGTGATCTCAGCTCACTGCAAGCTCCACCTCCCGGGTTCACGCCATTCTCCTGCCTCAGCCTCCCAAGTAGCTGGGACTACAGGTGCCTGCCACCACGTCCGGCTAAATTTTTTTTGTATTTTTAGTAGAGATGGGGTTTTACCGTGTTAGCCAGGATGGTCTCAATCTCCTGACCTTGTGATATGCCCACCTCGGCCTCCCAAAGTGCTGGGATTACAGGCGTGAGCCACGATGCCCGGTGCCAATTTTGTATTTTTAGTAGAGACGGGGCTTCACCATGTTGGTCAGGCTGGTCTCGAGCTCCTGACCTCAGGTGATCCGCTCACCTCAGCCTCCCAAAAGTGTTGGGATTATAGACGTCAGCCACCACGCCCAGCCCACTGCCTCATTTTTTAAATTACATGATAAAGAGCTGTACCACCCAACGTGTAGGTCTTAACTGCATCCTGATTCTAAAAGATGAACTGGGCAAAACTTGCAAGATAATCACAGAAATTTAAACACTAACCAGACATGTGAGAACATTAAAAAATTATTCTTAATTTTCTGGTGCAATAAAGGTATTATGTTTAACAAAGAAAGACTCGTGGCAATATGCAGATGAAATGGTAATTTGCTTGGGATCTATTTCAAAAAAATCCTACAGGGGTGTGGGTGGGGTTGGCACTGGGGTATAGATAAAGCGAAATTGCTGAGGAAGGATGATTTGTTGTTGTTGTGGTTGAGTAATTCAGGGGACCATGGGCAGGTTTGTTCTTTGCGTATATTGTGCAATGCTGGGGTTTGGGCTTCTAGTGAACTCATCACCCAAATAGTGCACATAGTACCCAACAGGTAATTTTTCAACCCTCACCCCAGTCTTCTACCCTTCCCCTCTAGCAGTCCCCAGTGTCTATTACATCATCTTTTCTTTCCCTTTTTTTTTTTTTTTTTTTTTTTTTTTTGAGACAGGGTCTCATTCTGTCTCCCAGGCTGGAGTGCAGTGGTGCGATCTTGGCTCCCTGAAGCCTCAACCTCCTGGGTTCAAGCCATCCTCCTATCTCAGCCTCCCCAGTAGCTGAGACTACAGGTGCACCACAACACTCGCCTAATTTTTTTTTTTTTTTGAGACAGAGTCTTGCTCTGTCGCCCAGGCTGGAGTGCAATGGTGCGATCTCGGCTCACTGCAACCTCCGCCTCCTGGGTTCACGCCATTCTCCTGACTCAGCCTCCCGAGTAGCTGGGACTACAGGCGCCTGCCGCCACACCTGGCTAATTTTTTGTATTTTTAGTAGAGATGGGGTTTCACCGTGTTAGCCAGGATGGTCTCGATCTCCTGACCTCGTGATCTGCCCACCTTGGCCTCCCAAAGTGCTGGGATTACAGGTGTGAGCCACTGCGCTGGCCGGCCAATTTTTGTATTTTTTTTAGAGATGAGGTTTCGCCATGTTGCCCAGGCTGGTCTTGAACTCCTGGGCTGAAGTGATCTGCCCACCTCGGCAGATTACTGGGATTACAAACTATTATATTCATCTTTATGTCTATGTGTTTAGCTCCCACATATAAGTAAGAACATGTGGTATTTGATTTTCTGTGAGTTAGGATAATGGCCTCCAGCTCCATCCATGTTGCTGTGAAGGACGTGATCTTGTTCTTTTTATGGCTGCATAGTATTCCATATGTGTATATGTGTCACATTTTCTTTATCTGGTCAACTGTCGGTGAACACTTAGGTTAATTCCATGACACTGCTATTGTAAGTAGTGCCACAGTAAACATACAAGTGCATGTGTCTTTTTGATAAAACTATTTATTTTCCTTTGAGTAGACACCCAGTACTGGGATTGCTGGGTTGAATGGTAGATCTACTTTTAGTTCTTTGAAAAATCTCCATCCTGTTTTCCACAGGGGTTGAACTAATTTACATTGCCACCCACAGTGTATGGGTGAGAAATGATCATTGTTAACCAAGGGTGATATGTACATGGGATTCATTAACTACTTCCTCTACTTTGAACATATTTGATATTTACCACAATAAAGAGGTTTTTTTTTTTTTTTTTTTTTTTTTTTGAGACGGAGTCTCGCTCTGTCGCCCAGGCTGGAGTGCAGTGGCGCGATCTCGGCTCACTGCAAGTTCCGCCTCCCGGGTTCACGCCATTCTCCTGCCTCAGACTCCCGAGTAGCTGGGACTACAGGCACCCGACTAATTTTTTGTATTTTTAGTAGAGACGGGGATTCACCGTGTTGGCCAGGATGGTCTCGATCTCCTGACCTCGTGATCCACCCGTCTCAGCCTCCCAAGGTGCTGGGATTACAGACATGAGCCAGTGCACCCTGCCGGTTTTTTTTTTTAAGATTTTTAGGATAGGCCAGGCACAGTGGCTCATGCCTGTAATCCCAGCACTTAGGGAGGCCGAGGCAGGCAGATCACAAGGTCAGGAGATCAAGACCATCCTGGCCAACACGGTGAAACCCCGTCTCTACTTAAAATACAAAAAATTAGCTGGGCATGGTGGCGGGCGCCTGTAGTCCCAGCTACTCGGGAGGCTGAGGCAGGAGAATGGTGTGAACCCGGGAAGCGGAGCCTGCAGTGAGCTGAGATCGCGCCACTGCACTCCAGCCTGGGCGACAGAGCGAGATTCTGTCTCCAAAAAAAAAAAAAAAAAAGATTTTTAGCATATATGTTTCTTAGAACATCTGATAGGTGGTGTTAACATATGTTTTGTGCATAGGATTTTTTCATTAAGAATCAGTTTTGAGGCCGGGCGCGGTGGCTCACGCCTGTAATCCCGGCATTTTAGGAGGCTGAGGCGGGGGGATCACAAGGTAAGGAGATCAAGACCATCCTGGCTAACATGGTGAAACCCCGTCTCTACTAAAAATACAAAAAGAAATTAGCCGGGCGTAGTGGCAGGTGCCTGTGGTCCCAGCTGCTGGGGAGGCTGAGGAAGGAGAATGGCATGAACCCAGGAGGCGGAGCTTGCAGTGAGCCGAGATTGTGCCACGGCACTCCAGCCTGGGTGACAGAGCAAGACTCCGTCTCAAAAAAAAAAAAAAATCGGTTTTGAAATATAATTACTGAATGTGACTAGAAATATATGGCCAGGAGCGGTGGCTCACGCCTGCTGTAATCCCAATACTTTGGGAGGCCGAGGTGGGCGGATCACGTGAGGTCAGGAGTTCAAGACCAGCCTAGCCAATATAGTGAAAACTCAACTCTACTAAAAATACAAAATTAGCCAGGCGTGGTGGCGCATGCCTATAATCCCAGCTACTTGGGAGGCTGAGGCAGGAGAACTGCTTGAACGGGAGGTGGAAGTTGCAGTGTGCCGAGATTGCACCATTGCACTCTGGCCTGGGAAACGAGCAAAACTCCATCTCAAAAAAAAAAAAAAGCCAGGCGCGGTGACTCACGCCTGTAATCCCAGCACTTTGGGAGGCCGAGGCGGGTGGATCACGAGGTCAGGAGATCGAGACCATCCTGGCTAACATGGTGAAACCCCGTCTCTACTCAATGTACAAAAAACAATTAGCTGGGTGTGATGGCGGGCGCCTGTAGTCCCAGCTACTTGGGAGGCTGAGGCAGGAGAATGGTGTGAACCCGGGAGACAGAGCTTGCAGTGAGCAGAGATCACACCACTGCACTCCAGCCTGGGCAACAGAGCGAGACTCCGTCCAAAAAAAAAAAACCCAAATATATTAGCCGGGCATGGTGGTGTTCACATGTAATCCCAGCTACTCGGGAGGCTGAGGCACAAGAATCGCTTGAACCTGGGAGGCGGAAGTTGCAGTGAGCTGAGATCGCGCCACTGCACTCCAGCCTGGGTGACAGAGCGAGACTTTATCTAAAAAAAAAAAAAAAGAAACCTCAATTGTAATAGCAGCCACCTCCAGGTGGAGAGATGAGTAAGTTCCACTTTCCGAACCACCATTTTCTGTACTTTCCAGATTTTAAACAATGACTATGTATTCTACAATCAGGAAAAAATGCTTTTTAAAAATATGACTAAGCCTAGGTTCTGGAAACTCAAGATATACTCTGCTGAATAATTATATCACAGTAAAGAGCCCCGGCTGGGCACGAGTCAGGCAACCCTGTCCCTGCATGGGTCGGGGACATGGCCTCTCAGACCAGCCCTGGCAGCATCTAAAAGGGACCGTTTACATTCACAGGCTCCTGGCTGCAGAGTAGGAGTGTGAGACTGAACATTTCCTTTCTGAAAGTGATCTTTTCTAGTCCCTCATGGTTAAAACAAAAAAGAAATTGGTATTCATTAAGGGCTTAATTAAAGAACTGAAAATAGCTGGGTGTAGTGGCTCACGCCTGGAATCCTAGTAATTTGGAAGGCTAAGATGGGAGGATCACTTGAGGCCAGGAGTGGGAGACCAGCCTGATCAACATAACAAGACCCTATCTCTAAAAAAAGAAAAAAGAAAAAAAAAGAACTGAAAATATAAATATAAATTACATTTATACTATAAATATTTTTGAGGGCAAAATATATTCTGTCCAACAGCAATTCAGTAAGACCAAGGATTGTTGGTTTCATGTAGAAATTTACATTGGTGATGTCTTCCTGCTTCTATCATAAGAAAATGAAAATGAATTTCTGTTTGCCCAGCATCAGAGTACAGCCTTTTTCTAAATAAAGAGTTAAGTCCCTCCTAGAAAAGCCTTATCTGGGGCCATGCATGGTGGCTCACACATGTAATCCCAGCACTTTGGGAGGCTGAGGTGGAGGACCACTTGAGCCCTAGGAGTTCAAGACCAGCCTGGACAACATAGCAAGATCTTGTCTCTAAAAAAAAAATATATAAAAATTAGCTAGATGCAGAGGTGGTGCTACTCGGGAGGCTGGGGTAGGAGGATCACTTGAGCCCAGGAGGTCGAAGCTGCAGTGAGCCAAGATCACGCCAATGTACTCCAGCCTGGGCGACGGAAAAAGACCCTGTCTTAAAAAAAAAATGCCTTATCTGTAGGTGGATTTATCTATCTTCCCCCTAACCACCCTACAGGGGGCAGGGTGAGAGAACAATACCAAAATCAGCCCCAGCTGTGTTCACATTCCGGCACCACCAGTTGTGTGACCAGGCACGTGTGAGGATCTCTGCAAATCTGAACCTCCTCTTCTGTATCTTGCCCCTGGCATTCACATCCTTATACATTCCCTCCCACACTGCACTTGAGCAGCCCGAGCAAGCCAAGAGATGTGGCAGAAGCAGCACTACAAGGATCCACCAAGCTTCCACCGTGGTCCTTAGGAGGCTTTGCCAAGGGAAAGCCACACACCATGGAAGGGGTCTGGCTTCCCAGAGACCAGCACGCTGTAAGGGCGTCCAAGGGAGCCCTGTGTGAAGAAGCCACAGGGATAGAGGAAGGGAGAGCAGAGACAGCAATGCTCAGCAAGCCCTCAGCTGTCCAGCTACCCCAGACTCGAGTGAAGATGCCATCTGCATGGCTGCCCAGTCCTGTCCGGCACTGAGTTGACTCCAGCCCCAGCCACCATCTGCTTGCAGCTGCTGGAGAGTCGCCCAGCGGAGCCCAGTCCACCACAGAATCACAACATGGCATGAGTCTGGGACACCATGGGGCTTCGGTACGCAGCAGCCCTCCTTTATCTCCTTTTCTGATGGAAACAGCATTAAGGAAACCAAGCACAGGCTGCGAGCCATTCAAAGACTCCCGACTCTCACGCCCTTCTCACCATGCCTATATCAGTGATCTCCTCTCAGGGTCAGATAAAGATCAGAGCTGGCAGTAACTCTAGATTCTGTTGCTTAGTAGGACGTAAGTAAGGTCAGCTCCGAGGCACCTGAAGACAGCTCCGAAATCCTTTCATAAAATAAAAGGCTCAGGTTCGCCATCCTCACTCTGCGGCTCCCTGTGGCCAGTTAGATGCCTCTGCTCCGTGTCCAGCCCATTCCTCCCAGTGGACACGTGACAGCCCTGGAAGAGCTGGGATGGGGGGGAATGCAAATGAGTGAATAGGCCATCATCCCTCAGGGTCAGGGGACAGGAGAGGGCCGGGGGTGCTGAGGACATGCACCAGGGAGACACACAAGGGGCAATGACCTCATGTCAGGGTCCGGAGGGTCCCCAGAAGCAGCAGAACTAACCTCGTTCCGTCTCCACCTAGGGACGGGAGCGTGCCCAGGTATGAGGAGCGTGGGTATGACAGGAAAGGCAATGAGAAAGAATACATCCACCCCAGAGCCAGTGCAAGTGTGGAAGGCTTGGGGACTCGAAATGGGACGCCTGGATCTCAGTTTACACTCTCACGAGACAACTCCCTTCCCCTCCACATCTCCACAGCATGGCTGCACTGCAGGCAGCACTCCTCTCAAGGAGGAGTCTACAAAATCCGAAAAGCATGTTTTATTTTGGTAAAATATACATAACATAAACTTTATCATCTTAACCATTTTGAAGTGTTCAGCTCAGTCCTGTGAAGTACACTGACATTGCTGTGCAGCCATCACCACCATCCATCTCCACACTCCATCTTCACACACTGAAGCTTTGTACCCATAAACACCAACTCCCATATTTCCCCTCCCCCCACCCCTGGAACCACCATTCTACTTCCTGTCTCTATGAATGTCACTGCAGTGGGTGCCTCACATAAGCGGAATCACCGGCTTTGTCATTTGTGATTGGCTTGTTTCGCTCAGCACAATGTCCTCCATGTTGCAGCATGTGTGAGAACTGACTTTTGCTATCATCCTTCAGTTGATGACACCTGGTTGCTAGGTTGTTGCAGATAATGCTACGAGATTCAATGCAATCCCTGTCAATATAACAGCAATATTTTTCAGGGAAATAGAAAAAAAAAATTCATATGAAGCCAAAAAAGAGCCCAAATATCCAAAGCAATCCTGAGCAAAAAGAACAATGCTGAAGGCAACACACCTCCTGACTTCAAAACAAATTATAAGCCTAGAGTAACCAAAATAGCCTGGCATTTGTATAAAAAGACACACAGACCAATGGGACAGAATAAAGAACCCAGAAATAAATCTACATATTTACTCCCATTGATCCTCAACAAAGCCAGCAAGAACATACACTGGGGAAAGGATATACTTTTCAATAAATGTAGCTAGGAAAACTTAATAGCCATGTGCAGAAAAATAAAACCGGACCTCTATGTGTCACCATACACAAAAGTCAACTCAAGATAGACTAAAGACTTAAACATAAGTTGGAAGGCTGAAAACAGGCAGAACACTTGAGGTCAGGAGTTCGAGACCAGGCTGGCCAACATGGTGAAACCCTGTCTCTACTAAAGATAGGAAAATTAGCCGGGCATGGTGGCGGACACCTGTAGTCCCAGCTACTCGGGAGGCTGAGGCAGGAGGATCCCTTGAACCTGGCAGGTGGAGGTTGCAGTGAGCCAAGATCACGCCATTGCACTCCAGCCTGGGAGATGGAGCAAGACTCCCTCTCAAAAAAATAAAAAAAAAGAAGCTCTAATGTTTGACAGCAGGGCAGAATGACTATACTTAGCAACAATACCATGTATTCTCTTTTTTTTTTTTTTTTTTTTTGAGACACAGTCTCACTCCGTAGCCTGGCTGGCGTGAAGTGGAGTGCAGTGGTGCGATCTCAGCTCACTGCAACCTCTGCAGCCCAGGTTCAGGCAATTTTCATGCCTCAGCCTCCCAAGTGGCTGGGACTACAGGCATGTGCCACCACGCCCGGCTAATTTTTGTATTTTTGTAGAGATGGGGTTTCATCATGTTGGCCAGGCTGATCTTGAACTCCTGACCTCAGGTGATCTGCCCACCTTGGTGTCCCAAAGTGCTGTGATTATAGGCATGAGCCACCGCACGCCCGGGATTTTTGAGACAGAGTCTCACTCCGTTGCCCAGGCTGGAGTGCAGTGGTGTGATCTTGGCCACTGTAACCTGTGCCTCCCGCTACCAACCCAATTCTTTTTGTTCTTTTTTTAGATGGAGTTTTTGCTCTTGTTGCCGAGGCTGGAGCGCAATGGCGCAATCTAGCCTCACTGAAACTTCCGCCTCCCAGGTTCAAGCAATTCTCCTGCCTCAGCCTCCCAAGTAGCTTGGATTACAGGTGCCCACCACCACACCCGGACAATTTCTGTATTTTTAGTACAGACGGGGTTTCACCACGCTGGCCAGGCTGGTCTCAAACACCTGACCTCAGGCGATCCACCTGCCTCGGCCTCCTAAAGTGCTGGGATTACAGGTGTGAGCCACCATGCCCAGCCCCCACCCAATTCTTAAAAGCCTCCAAGCTGGGCACAGTGGGAGCCCAGCACATTGGGAGGCCGAAGAAGGCAGATCACGAGGTCAGGAGATCGAGACCATTCTGGCTAACATGGTGAAACCCCGTCTCTACTAAAAATACAAAAAATTAGCCGGGTGTGGTGGCGGGCATCTGTAGTCCCAGCTATTTGGGAGGCTGAGGCAGAAAAATGGCGTGAACCTGGGAGGCGGAGCTTGCAGTGAGTGGAGATCATGCCACTGCACTCCAGCCTGGGCAACAGAGCGAGACTCCGTCTCAAAAAAAAAAGAAAAAAGCCTCCAACAAATTCTAAACACACAGCTTTCCTGAGACTGTCCCCAGGAAGCCTGTCCCAGGGCAGCCATGCGAACCCCTCAATGGCAGCTCTCCTGCGCAGCCTGACTTTGGGCCCATCCTCACCCACCCAGGCACACTCAGCCTCTGCTGCACCTGCTGAGTGAAGGCACTGCTATTCTAATGTTGCCATGGGCTTTCCACAAACATTCACATCCTGTGAATGTTTCTCTTCCATAAGCCCTGCTTCAATGGGGCTCTGACACTGAACATGACCCACCTGCCTCCCTGCCTGCTTCCCACAGCATGTCATCCAAAAGCATGGCAAAGAAGTTTGTAGGCAGCCCCATCTGAGCCTATGCTGTAGAGCACGCTCCCTGGACTATGTCTTCCAAAAGCATGGCAAAGAAGGCAGGCGGCCCCATCCGAGCCTATGCTGTAGAGGACGCTCCCTGGACTATGTCATCCAAAAGCATGGCAAAGAAGGCAGGCTGTCCCATCCGAGCCTATGCTGTAGACGACGCTCCCTGGACTACTGGGAGTTGTACTGTGTATCTGGCTGATTCTCTGGGAAGTTCCTTTAAAAGTGAAAGAGGGCCAGGTGCGGTGGCTCACATCTGTAATCCCAGCACTTTGGGAGGTCGAGGCGGGTGGATGAAGACCAGCCTGGCCAATATGGTGAAACCCTGCCTCTACTCAAAATACAAAAATTAGCCAGGTGTGGTGGCGGACGCCTGTAATGCCAGCTACTGGGGAGGCTGAGGCAGGAGAATCGCTTGAACCTGGGAAGCAGAGATTACAGTGAGCCGAGATGGCACCACTGCACTCCAGCCTGGGCAACAGAGCAACACTCCGTCTCACAAAAAAAAAAAAAAAAAAAAAAAAGTGAAAGAGGAAGCCATGCCTCAAATCCCTCAGTAGAAGGACTGTCACCAGAACTTGACTCCCCTGAAGATGAGACTATCTAGAATCTCAAATCTAGAAATGCTACCACCTGGCAATTCATTTAGAGTTTAAACTTTCATTGTTTAGCTTCCACTTGTAAGTGAGAACATGCGGTTTTTGACTTTCAGACATACAGAGTGGAATAACAGACATTGGAAACTCCAAATGAACAGGAATGAAAGGAAGTAAAGTAGACTTGGAAGAGGGCCAAGCGGGCAACTTGAGAGATCAAGTGCCTTCATTAATTTCATACTTCGCCAGTGACCACCCAGTGCCACTGATACAGGCTAGCTGGGTTAACCTGAAGGGAAGGGTGGGAGCGATGAAATATTATATTCAGGTGATGTTACATTAAAAGCCCAGACTTCACCACTGTGCAATATAACCATATAACATAACTGCATTTGTACCCCTAAATCCATCCAAAAATTTAAAAAATTTTTAAAGCTTAAAATTTCAGTAAGACACAACTTTTTCCAGCATAAGGAACGTCACGCTAGGTCTCCCTTAAAGCAAGAACTTCATTCTCTGGTGCTTGCGTATCTCCCCTCTCCTCCCTCATCCTCTATTTCTGTCATTTCATACTGGTCAATTCTGCTGCTTGCAACAGATGTAGGAAAGGATTTTATGGCGAGTAGATTTTAAAACTGCTGTATTCTCAACACCTACACAATGCCTGGTGCATTACAAGAGCTTCATCAAGGCCAAGCATGGTGGCTCACGCCTGTAATCCCAGCACTTTGGGAGGTCAAGGTGGGTGGATCACCTGAGTTTGGAAGTTCGAGACCAGCCTGACCAATATGGAGAAACCTGTCTCTACTAAAAACACAAAATTAGCCAGGCGTGGTGGTGCATGCCTATAACCCAACTACTCGGGAGGCTGAGGCAGGAGAATCGCTTGAACCCGGGAGGTGGAAGTTGCAGTGAGATTGCACCATTGCACTCCAGCCTGGGCAACAAAAGCAAAACTCCGTCTCAAAAAAAAAAAAAAAAGCACTTTGGGAGGCCGAGGCGGGAGGATCACAAGGTCAGGAGATCGAGACTGGTGACAGAGCAAGACTCCATCTCAAAAACAAAACAAAAACAAAAAAAGCTTCATCAGTATCTGTTGAACAAATCAAAGCAGACATTGAAACAAGACTCTATGTCTATCTTCTACCACCATGAGTAACACAGCTAGCCTGAATCAGTGGCACTGGGTGGTCACTGGGGAAGTATGAAATTAATGAAGGCCTCTGATCTCTCAAGTTGCCAGCTTGGCCCTCTTCAAAGTCTACTTTACTTCCTTTCATTCCTGTTCTAAAGCTTTTAAATAAACTTTTGACAGGGCATGGTGGCTCAGACCTGTAATCCCACCACTTTGGGAGGCCAAGGTGGGCAGATCATCTGAGGTCAGGAGTTCAATACCAGCCTGGCCAACATGGTGAAACCCCGTCTCTGCTAAAATACAAAAATTAGCTGGACATGGTAGCGTGTACCTGTAATCCCAGCTACTCAGGAGCCTAAGACAGGAGAATTGCTTGAGCCTAGGAGGCGGGGGCTGCAATGAGCCAAGATCGCGCCACTGCACTCCAGCCTGGGTGACAGAGCTAGACTCCATCTCCAAAAAAAAACTTTCATTCCTGCTCTAAACCTTGCCTAGGTCTCCTTCTGCTTTGTGCCCCTCAGCCAAATTCTTTCTTCTGAGGAAGCAAGAATTGAGGTTGTTGCAGTCCCACATGGATTCCCCACTGGTAACATACTTTGGTGCCACATGACTCGGAAATGTTCCCTAGTGTAAGACACCTCCATGCCTCCCTCGCCTTCTTCGGCGGGAGGTGCTCAACCCCCATACAAGTTTTCTTCTCCTTTTCTCTCCTACTTACTAACCAAATCCCAAAACAATTCCTCTCAGCCGTAAGTGACTCTGCCCCGCCGGCTGGTCTCTCAGCTCACCTTGATGGGTGGCTCACAGGGATGGAAAGGACCTTGGGTCCAGACCGGGAAGAACTGAGGTGCTAATGGCCTCCTGGACGGGAGGCTCTGAAGAGTCATAGAGCTAAAGCCTAACACCATGCAATGTCTGGGGCTTAAAATAAATAATGAAAATCACAAGTTCACTTTGATCAATTTAAAACCATAATATAGGCCGAGTGTTGGTGGCTCACGCCTGTAATCCCAGCATTTTGGGAGACTGAGGTGGGCAGATCACCTGAGGTCTGGAGTTCGGGACCATCCTGGCCAACATGATGAAACCCCATCTCCAGTAAAAGCACAAAATTAGCCAGATATGGTGGCACGCGCCTGTAATCCCAGCTCGGGAGGCTGTGGCAGGCGAATCGCTTGAACCCGGGAGGCAGAGGTTCAGTGAGCCAAGATCGCGCCATTGCACTCCAGCCTGGGCAACAAGAGCGAAACTCCGTCTCAAAAAAAAATCATAATAAAAAATAAATAAATGAATGAAAGCATAGTATATAGGTATAAGAAACAGCATTTATCTTTTTTTTTTTTTTTTTTAAGACAGAGCCTTGTTCTTCTCGCTCGGGCTGGAGTGCAATGGCACAATTTTGGCTCACTGCAACCTCCCCCTCCTGGGTTCAAGCAATTCTCCTGCCTCAGCCTCCCGAGTAGCTGGGATTACAGGTGTGAGCCACTGCACCCAGCTTATCATGTTTTTTTTAAAAGGCTACTCGCTTGTTTATTTTCCTATTCACCAATTCCTTTGAGCCACATGACCTGGGTTGAAATAACACAGTTTTCCTCAACTTTTTAGAAAACTAACTAAAGCTGGTATTCAGCTTTCCTTCGTTTTTCCCTAATGTCTTACATCTGGTGTTCACGTGTTCTTAGGCTCCTCCTGGTTGTGACGTGCTTTCAGATTCCATGACCTTCACAGAGGACTGGTCAGGTGTACTGCAAGATTTTTTTTTTTTTTTTTGAGATGGAGTCTTGCTCTGCCGCCCAGGCTGAGTGCAGTGGCGGATCCCGGCTCACTGCAACCTCTGTCTCCCGGGTTCAAGAGACTCTCCTGCCTCAGCCTCTCGAGTAGCTGGTACTACAGGTGCGTGCCACCACACCGGGATAATTTTTTGTATTTTTAGTAGAGATGGGGTTTCGTCGTGTTAGCCAGGATGGTCTAGATCTCCTGACCTTGTGACCCGCCCGCCTCGGCCTCCCAAAGTGCTGGGACTACAGGCACCAGCCACCGCGCCCGGCCGCAAGATGTTCTTCTACTCCGGTTTGTGTGGTGTTTTCCTCATGCTTACGCTAGGGCCGTGGATTGGGGAGGTGAGGTGCTTTCTCAGGCCATCCTATTTATAAGGTCACGCGCGTTGACCATCTCACCCAGTCCTGGGGCCTGTCACACGGACAGATGCTCCCTGAAGTGTGGCTGCGGTGTGTGTGTATCTGTGTGCCTTAGAGACAGACACATCTGCATCCTTGGAAAATCATACTTGGTTTTATTTAATTCTATTTAAATTGTATGGGAGACCACTATGCTTTCACTTTAAAGCTAAATTCCTTAAATTATCCATGATTTTATATTTTCATTCGAGACTGTCGGGCCCTTTATCTCTTCTCTGAAGCCAACGCCTGGCTCACTCAGAGAAAGTTTCACCTGCATTCCGCCATGTAAATTACGAGTTCACTTTCTCTCACAACCCAAGAGTCGGGGGCCACATCCTTCCCAGAGAGCTCTTAATATTCTTCTTCTAAGAGTATGGCCAAGAACCACAAGACTTTCTCAGTCCCTCTGGAAGCAATGGAAACGGACTGTTTCACAGCCTGCCATATCCTGCATTGGCAAACCGGTCCCGTCCGGGGCCTCCCAGCACAAACGACACTGACAGAGAGCTCTACCCCGCAGAGCACTACGGAGTGCGGTGCTGCGGCACATCCACCTGGGAAGTGGCCTTGGCCCGTCCAGGGCTTGGTTTTGGATCTGCCGCGCGTGTTCTCCAAACTGAAGATCACTTGTATTCATTTGGTGCAGGTCTAAGGCGCAGCGGGCTCCGTAAGAGCACCCCAGGAACGCACAGCCCTGAGAGCCCGCCCGGGTCTTCCTTTTGCACCAGCGAGGCCCCTGCGGGGGACTGGAAATCCCAGGTCTTGCTCTACCGAGCGTACCCTAGGAGCGGGCCGCGCATCGGCTGAAGCGGCGCTTCCAGGCGGGCGCTGGGCTCGAGCACCCCAGCACCGCGTCCGCAGGAGGCTCCCGGCCGCGGGTTGCGGGCCACGGCGAGGGCTGCCGGGCGGCGCGGGGCAGGTCTTGGACCGAGGGAAAAAGTCAGCCGGGGAAGCCCGCACACCAAAGCAAGCCGCTCCAGCCGCTGAGAACGGAGAAAAGCCGTGGCGTCGGCGAAGCGCCGGACGCTCAGGACGCACCTGTGATTCCTGGGCCGCTCCCGGGCCCGAGCGCCAGGACGCGGCGGCAGCCTGGGCACGCCGCGGGGAGCACCCGCCCGCGCAGCCTTCCCCCAACCTGGGCCCGGGCCCCGACCCCGTCCCCTGCCCCGACCCGGGCGCCCCCACCTGCGACCGCCTTCTCCGCCGCCCGCCTCCCCCACCCGCCCGCCGCCTGCCGCCTGCCGCCCGCCCTACCTCGCCGCTTGGCACGCACGATGCCCTTCTTCTGTAGCACGAACGTGGACCCGTTCACCAGGCTCGACACGACGGCCACGCCCAGGCCGAGCGACACGGCGGCGGGGCTCGGGCTACGCGCCCCCTCCCCGGCCGCCGCCGCCGCCGCCGCCGCCGCTGCCGCAGCTGCAGTCCCCATTCCGCCCGCGCCCGCCCTCCGAGCCTGCGCCTGCGCGCCGCGCCCCGCGGGGCGGGATGGGGGGTGACCGGGAGGCGCGGGCGGGGGAGGGGAGGGGGACGGGTGGGGGAGGAGCAGGAAGAGGGGCGGGGGCGGGACGGGGGTGCCAGGGACCGGCGCCTTAGGCTGCGGGGACAGCAGTGGCGCCGGACGCGGCGGCAGTGAGGGGCCGGTGAGGCGCTGGGTGGGGCGGGGGTTCCCGGATTTCGCAAATGGAAATGCAGGACTCCTGGTTAAGTTTCCAGCGCGGAGAAACACGCATACTTTCTGAGTGGTGTCCTCTGCAATATCCGGGCAGCGGAGCGCGGCAGGACGCACCGGCGGGCAGCGGTCCCCGAAGAGCCTCCAGCGGAGGCCGGCCCAACTCACCGGAGCGCGAAGCCCGGCGCGCCGCTGCAGAGATCGAAGGAGAGCCCTGGCGCTGGGCGTTTCTCTTCCGCCCTTGGCGCTAGAGTCAGCTACATGGGGCTCTGGGCTTGTGATCCCATAGTCTAGTTTCCTCGTTTTAATAAACTACAACAAGCCGGGCGCGGTGGCTCACGCCTGTAATCCCAGCACTTCGGGAGGCCGAGGCGGGTGGATCACAAGGTCAGGAGATCGAGACCATCCTGGCTAACACAGTGAAACCCCGTCTCTACTAAAAATACAAAAAATTAGCTGGGCGTCGTGGCGGAGGCCTGTAGTCCCAGCTACTCGGGAGGCTGAGCCAGGAGAAGGGTGTGAACCCGGGAGGCAGAGCTTGCAGTGAGCGGAGATCACACAACTGCACTCGAGCCTGGGCGACAGAGCGAGACTCCGTCTCAAAAAAAAAAAAAAAAAGAAACAACAACAAAATTACAAGCTTGAAAAATAGGAAAAAGTTATTTTATTTTTTTTGGAAAAAAATATTTTTTAAAGTGACTCAATTCCACAACCCTCACCTAATTATTAGTATTTTAGGTGTTTTCCCATAATGTATACATACTTTTACATGTTTCCAATTACAATATACGAAATTTCCTTTTTATTTAATATATATCAGTTTCTGTATCGGTACATAAATATGATTATTCTAATGACAGTATAATAATTTGTCTAACCATTCAGCCATTGTTGGGTGTTAGGTAGCTACCAGGTTGGTTTGTTTTTTTGAGACAGAGTCTCGCTCTGTCGCCCAGGCTGGAGTGCAATGGCGCGATCTCGGCTCACTGCAACCTTCCGCCTCCCGGATTCAAGCGATTCTCGGCCTCAGCCTCCGAGTATCTAGAATTACAGGCGTCCGCCACCACGCCCGGGTTAATTTTTGTATTTTGAGTAGAGACGCGGTTTCACCATCTTGGCAAGGCTGGTCTTGAACTCCTGACCTCAGGTGATCCGTCCGCTCTACCTCCCAAAGTGCTGGGATTACAGGCGTGAACCACCGCGCCTGGCCGGTTGCTGCCAGGTTTTGTTGTCTATAAACGATGCTACAAGCTGGGCACAGTGGCTCACACCTATAATCCCAGCACTTTGGGGACCGAGGTGGGAGGCTCGCTTGAGCTCAGACGTTCAAGACCAGCCTGGGCAACGTAGCGAGACCCGTCTCTACCAAAAAAAGAAAAAAATTAATTAGCGGGGCGTGGTGGCTTTTACCTCCAACCCCAGATACTCTGGAGGCAGAGGTGGGAGGATGGCTTGAGGTGGAGGTTGCAGTGAGCTGTTATTGCACCACTGCACTCCAGCCTGGGCAACAGAGCAAGATTGTCTCAAAAACAAACGAAAAGTATAAACCTTTTGGCAGCTTTGCATACAGCATTATTATTTTGTGAAGAAATATAAAATAGGGCCGGGGAGGTGGCTCATGACTGTAATCCCAGCACTTTGGGAGGCGGAGGCGGACGGATCCGGAGGTCAGGTGGATGGATCAGGAGGTCAAGAGATCGAGACCATCCTAGCTAACACGATGAAACCCGGTCTCTACTAAAAATACAAAAAATTAGCCGGGCATGGTGGAGGGCGCCTGTAGTCCCAGCTACTCAGGAGGCTGAGGCAGGAGAATGGCGTGAACCCGGGAGGCGGAGCTTGCAGTGAGCCGAGATGGCACCACTGCACTCCAGCCTGGGCGACGGAGTGAGACTCCGTCTCAAAAAAAAAAAGAAAAAAAAAAGAACTCCACCCCAGACATTTTTCCATGTGAGTACATAGGTTAAATGACAGGCATATTTTATCTGATGGGGAAACACATATGGGATTTTAATTAAAAACATAAAACTATATTTTGCTTGAATTTAACAAAAGAAAAACTGAAATGAAACTACAGTAACTACTGAATGACAAACATTATTTTGCCATGAGATATTACTTCCTAAAAGATACACCTAAAATTAAAGTTAGTAGGCCAGGTACAGTGGCTCATGCCTATAATCCCAGTACTTTGGGAGGCCAAGGCCAGCAGATCACTTGAGCCCAGGAGTTTGAGATCAGCCTGGGCAACATGATGAAACCCCATCTCTGCAAAAAAATACAAAAATTAGCCAGGCATGGTGACATGTGCTTGTAGTCCCAGCTACTCAGGAGGCTATGGGAGGATCACTTGACCCCAGAAGTTGAGGCTACAGTGAGCCATGATCACGCCACTGCACTCCAGCCTGGGCAACAGAAGTGAGACCCTGTCTCAAAAAAAAAAAAAAAAAAGTGAGAAACACTAAGAGGGTGGGAGTTACGTTTATTTTAACTCTGGGTTTCAATTTTGGGCTATCAATTGATTCCTTGCAAGGAGAAATGAGGAAATCAGTTCACTTTTCAGCTCCCTAAAAAATTTTTTTTTCGTCTTATGTTTTGAGATGGAGTCTTGCTCTGTCACCCAGGCTGGAGTGCAGTGGCGTGATCTTGGCTCACTGCAACCTACGCTTCATGGGTTCAACCAATTCTCTGCTTCAGCCTCCCAAGTAGCTGGGATTACAGACGCCTGCCACCACGCCTGGCGAATTTTTTTGTATTTTTAGTAGAGACAGGGTTTCACCATCTCGGCCAGGCTGGTCTTGAACTACTGACTTCGTGATCCACCAGCTTCGGCCTCCCAAAGTGCTGGGATTACAGGCGTGAGCCACTGTACCCGGCCAAGAATTGTTTCTTCTCCTTACCTAGGTAGAGACTTCTGTAGAAATGCCGGGAGATTTTTGGAGAGGGGAGATTTTTCTTTTTTTTCTTTTCTTTTCTTTTCTTTTTTTTTTTTTTTGAGATGGAGTCTCGCTCTGTTGCCCAGGCTGGAGTGCAGTGGCGCGATCTTGGCTCACTGCAAGCTCCACCTCCCGGATTCACGCCATTCTCCTGCCTCAGCCTCCCAAGTAGCTGGGACTACAAGCACCCGCCACCATGCCTGGCTAATTTTTTATGTTTTTAGTAGAGATGGGGTTTCACTGCGTTTGCCAGGATGGTCTCGATCTCCTGACCTCATGATGTGCCCGCCTTGGCCTCCCAAAGTGCTGGGATTACAGGCGTGAGCCACCGCGCCCGGTGGGAGATTTTTCAGATAAAAAATTCAGCAGTTTGGGAGGCCAAGGTGGGTGGATCATGAGGTCAGGAGTTGAAGACCAGCCTGGCCAAGATGGTGAAACCCCGTCTCTACTAAAAATACAAAAATTAGCCAGACACAATGGCAGGTGCCTGTAATCCCAGCTACTCGGGAGGCTGAGGTAGGAGAATCCCTTGAACCTGGGTGGCAGAGGTTGCAGTGAGCCGAGATAGCACCACTGCACTCCAGCCTGGGCAATAAGAGTCAGACTCCGTCTAAAAAAAAAAAAAAATTTAATGGATCTAGTTCTAAACCTCATTTTGAATCCACCCACGTTGCTCTGAAATACATTCATCTTTCCTGTGGCTAAAACCTTAAAGCCTAGCCAGTAACTCCCATTGCACTTGAGGAAATCCAGTCTCCTTGCTGTGGCCCCTAACAGGCTGCTGCTGGCCCACCACGGTGCCTCTAGTTTGTGTAAAATGCATATGTTAATTCATAATAAACCATACAAGGCTTTTTTTTTTTTAGCTCTAAAAGGCTATTATTTACTAGTTGCTGTGTGAATCAGTATTTCTGGGTGCAGTTAGAAATTATTAGAGTTAATGCCCAAGACTCATCTCAACCAACACGGGGGAGGGCATCTGCTCCTTTTATGGTCAGTGACTCTGGGCCTCCTTCTGCTGGGCTCAGTCCTGAGGTGGGTCTGACTCAGGTCAGAGCTGTGCACCCCGGCCCTCCTCCCCAACGTGCATGAGTGCTCTTTAGGATGGAGCTGAACACCGGCTTCTCAAAACCATGTGGCCCCATCACAGGCCCTGAGAACTGATTGGGTCACTCTGGTGGGCTCCCCAGCCCTAGACAAGAAGGGTTTCTCTAGGGAGCCTGGCCCCCACTCATGAGACCTGGAGCCTCAAAGATCTCTTCGGAGCCCCAAAGATCTCTTTGCAGTGTATCAGCCCAGGCCTCCACACTGTGGCCTCTGCTCTCCTCTCCTGTTCCCCATGTGCATTTTCTTTTTCTTTTTGGCTTCACTTCTGAGTTATTCATTTAGCCATTTACTGCAGGAGCGAGGTGAGGATAGGAGAGTACTTGGGGTACCCGTAATGTTCACTGTGGTCTGGGGGTCCCCGAGCAGGACAGTGAGTTTGGGGTCTGGGGCTCAGGCGCTATGGGAGTAGACTGTGCGAAGTGACAGGAAGACATCCGCCTTGCATATTTTCTTTGGTTTTAAAGAAAGACGTTACCATTTCATGTTATATTTGTTTTATGAGACAGTTTCATTCTGTTGCCCAGGCTGGAGTGCAATGGTGCGATCTCAGCTCACTGCAACCTCCGCATCCCAGGTTCAACCGATTCTCCTGCCTCAGTCTCCTGAGTAGCTGAGATTACAAAAAAAAAAAGGTACATTTTAAAGCAGAGTAACAAATTGATAACTAAGCGTGGAGTGGAAAGAGGTGACCCCCGAGGACTGGAAATGGCAACGTTAGACTATGAACTACATTTCTCCCATGGCTGATTTGGCCTATGCCCAGGAATGAGCAAAGACAGCAGGCCCGTGAGACTGGAAGCAAGATGGAGTCAGCCATGCTAAACTTCTCTCACTGTCATCTTTGCAAAGCTGGTCTCACCATTTATTGAAGTGAATATTCTTTTTTTTTTTTTTTTAATGAGACGAAGTCTTACTCTGTTGCCCACACAGGAGTGCAATGGTGCAATCTTGGCTCACTGCAACCTCCACCTCCTGGGTTCAAGCAATTCTCCTGCCTCAGCCTCCCGAGTAGCTGGGATATCAGGTGCCCACCACCATGCCTGGCTAATTTTTGTATTTTTAGTAGAAATGGGGTTTCACCATGTTGGGCCTCACAATACACATCAGCCCATCTCCTCTCCTGCTTGACAGGGATGGTCATGATCCTCATTTCCCAGTTAAACAAGCCGAAACTCCATTATGGGGTTTCACCATATTGGCCAGGCTGGTCTCGAACCCCTGACCACAAGTGATCCAAGCACCTCGGCCTCCAAAGTGCTGAGATTACAAGTGTGAGCCACTATACCCAGCCAATTAGGGGTAAATATCCAACATTTAGCCCGGTGCAGTGGCTCACTCCTTAATCCCAGCACTTTCAGAAGCTGAGGTAGGAGGATCACTTGAGCCCAGGAGTTTGAGTCCAGGTCTGGCAACATAGTGAGACCTTGTCTTAACAAAAAATTTAGAACTTAGCCAGGCATGGTGGTGTGCGCCTGTAGTCACAACTACTTGGGAGGCTGAGATGGAGGAGTGTTTGAACCCAGAAGGTCAAGTAAGCTGTGATTGTGCCACTGTACTCCAGTCTGTGTAACAGAGCAAGACCCTGTCTCCAAAAAAAAAAAAAAAAAAAAATCCAAAATGTATAAAGAATTAATACAACTCAAAACAAATAACCTAATTTTTAAAATGTTTTTAAAAAACTTGAATAGACATTTCTTTAAACAAAACATGAAAATAGCAAGTGGGTATCTGAAAGGCGTTTTGCATTGTAAATCATTAGGGAAATGCAAATCAAACCCATTGAGATGCCACCTCACACCCCTTATGACTATTATCAAAAAGTCAAAAGATAAATGTTGGCAAGGGTGTGGCGAAATAGGAACTTTTGCATACTGTTGATGAGAATGTACATTGATACAGTCATTCTGGAAAAGAGTATGAAGATTTCTAGAGAAATTAAAAATAGAACTACCATATGACTCAGCAATCCCTCTTCTGAGCATACACCCAAAGGAAATGAAATCATTACTATGTAAAGTTACCTGTATTCTCATGTTCATTGCAGTCCTAACCATAATAGCCAAGATATGGAAACAATCTAAGTGTCCATCAATGGATAAATGGATAAAGAGACTGTGGCACACACACACAATGGAATATTATTCAGCCCTAAAACAAACAAGGTCTTGCCATTTGCTGCAAGATGGATGAGGCTGGAGGACGTCATGCTAAGTGAAATAAAGCATACACAGAAAAACAAATATTGCATAAACCCATTTATATGTGGGATGTAAAAATGTAAATAAATAAATCTACAGAGATAGAGAGCAAAACATTGTTTACCAGGGGAGGTGGGAGAGGGGAGGAATTGGGGACATGGAGGCCAAAGGACACAAAGTAGCAGGTATGAAGGATGAACAAGTCTAGAGATGTAATGTATGACATGAGGACTGCAGGGAACAAAATTGTTATGCATGTGAAATTCATGCTAAATGAGTAGATTTCAACTGCTCTTGCCACAAAAGCAACAAGGAAATGGGGAACTATGTGAAATGATTGGTGTGTTAATTTCTTTCAGTATAGGAATCTTTTTACAATCTATATATAACTCTTAGCATCATGTTGTAAGCCTTAAATATACACAATAAGATTTATTTTTAAAAAAGAAAAATTGAGAGTCAAAGAACTGACAAAGCAAAGACTAAGTAAATAAAAACAGGGGTAACTATATTTATATCTGTTAATCAAAAAATGAGTGACTGACTGAGGCAAGTGCCTCCATCAACAGAGCT
Organism: Homo sapiens; assembly: GCF_000001405.40. Lineage (NCBI taxonomy): Eukaryota > Metazoa > Chordata > Mammalia > Primates > Hominidae > Homo > Homo sapiens. The sequence continues at coordinate 22,779,602 of NC_000015.10, read as the reverse complement.
TTGTTCAGCCAAAATTTGATGATACCCCCAGAAAAAACACAAGCCAGAGAAACGCCTGTGACCTGTGCTTTCCAAAGAGGGTTTTGGGAACTCAGTACATAAGGGGAGAAGGCGTGCAGGAGAGAAGAAAGGGAGGGGGAGCAGGCAGTGAAGCGGTGGTTACATTCTTAGGAAGCTCTAATTAGTGCTCAGTAAATCTTCATTTTACATAAGATAAGGTAAACATCTGAAAAGAGGAAGGAAAGAGTCAATTATGCAGCCATCTCAGGGTAGGTGGAAGAGTGATTGATCTCATGTTCTTGTTCTGTACCTGGGAAGATAGGCCTGTAATCAACATTGTCAGTGTCAGATTGAATAGAACTCAGTTTTACATCTTGAACTGAGGTTGCAGAGCCACGGTTACAATGGGCATATGCTTATTTTATAGGGGGACATGGATCCTGAAAGATTCAGGGGCCAGTAAAGAACATCCCTGTGAGCGATTTGTGAGGGAGGCCATATGGAGAGGTACGTGGCCTTTTGTGGTAGTGGGGACCTGGCTTATGTCTAATGCCATCACACAGGGTTGTGAAATGGCAGCTATCTCTTTGGGGAGAAAGAATGGTAGTGTTGCATGACTCAGCTCCCAAACTTAACGTCTCCCTTAGCATAACAGGTTTGGTGGTTCCAAGACTTTATTTTCTCTTACATATTAAAAAAAACTCTTAACGAAAGAGCTATGTGAGAGATAAAGTGGGTATTTCCTCATGATAAAAGGGTGCAACCAGAAGGGAGAAAAAGGAATTCTAAATGTGTTTATGCCTGGTAACTTAACCTTAAAACACACAGAACAAGCTTAACAAATGAAAAAAAAGAAATAAGTTGATGATCATTGTGGGAAACTTTAATATCTGTGTCTCAGCCACTGAAAAATAAACAAACATCAGTAAGCACATAGAATCTTTAAAGGATGCATTTAACACACTGGACCTAACTGAGATACGTGGTACACTACGCTCAACATGCAGAATACATATCCTTTTCAAGTGCAGAAGCAATATTTATAAAAATTAATCATATTTTCAATCATTGAGAAGACACAAATTCCACAGAGTTTTAGTTATACAAATATTTAATCACAGTGGAACTATAAGTTTGGAAATTAAGCAAAACATTTTCAGTATGGTAAAGGGATGAATAAAATCAAAGTTTGCTTTTTTGAAACACTAATAAAATTGATGGCCTCCAGCAAGATTGATTAACAAAACAGACAAAAGGCACAAACTCTAACCGGAGACTTTATAAGTATTAAAAAGATAAATGAATAATAGAATAACTTTGAAATTTTCGATAAAATGAACAAATTGATTCAGCAAACACAGGTTACCAAAATGAATATTTATATATATGTAATTGAACCTGTAGTTAAACACCTTATAAAGAAAACTACAGTCTCACATGGCTTAATAAGTGAATTCTTTCCAAATGCTTAAGGAAGAAATAGCACACATCTTACATAAACTCTGTCAGAAATAGGAGAAGAAACATTTTCCAAATTGTCTAACCAGCATAGCTTTAATACTTCATATTAAAACCTCACAAGTCTGGGCGTGGTGGCTCAAGCCTGTAATCCCAGCACTTTGGGAGGCCGAGGCGGGTGGATCACGAGGTCAGGAGATCGAGACCATCCTGGCTAACAAGGTGAAACCCCGTCTCTACTAAAAAATACAATAAATTAGCCAGGTGTGGTGTTGGGCGCCTGTAGTCCCAGCTACTCAGGAGGCTGAAGCAGGAGAATGGCATGAACCCAGAAGGTGGAGCTTGCAATGAGTTGAGATCACGCCACTGCATTCCAGCCTGGATAACAGAGCCAGACTCCATGGCAAAAACAAACAAACAAACAAACAAACAAACGAACAAAAATCACCAGAAAAAAAAAAATTAGACTCCACTTTCTCTTGTGAACATAAGTACAAAACTACCAAATGAACTAGGAGCAAGCCCATCTCAACCATACATAATATGGTATTAATCATTTATCACAACAAAGTTGATTTAATTCCAGAAATGCAATGTTCAACATTCAAAAGCCAATCACTGTTAAGTTACCTTATCAACATAAAAAGATAAGAAAAAACATTGCTCAATCAAGAAAGAAAAAAGCAATTGATACAATTCAGTACCTATTCATAAATCTTAAAACCTGTCTAACAGAGAGGAAGCAACATGTGAGTTAAACACTCCCCCAGCTGAGAATAGTGACATAACTTATTTGCAGCCAAAAGATGAAAATTGCAGGCCAGGCGCGGTGGCTCACGCCTCTAATCCTAGCACTTTGGGAGGCAGAGGCGGGCGGATCACAAGGTCTGGAGTTCAAAACCAGCCTGGCCAACATGGTGAAATCTCGTCTCTACTAAAAATACAAAAAGAAATGAGCCGGGCGTGGTGTCATGCGCCTGTATTCCTAGCTATTAGGGAGGCTGAGGCAGGAGAATCGCTTGAACCATGGAGGCGGACATTGTGACAGTGAGCCGAGATTGTGCCACTGTACTCCAGCCTGGCAACAGAGCAAGACTGCGTTTCAAAAAAAAAAAAAAAAAAGGAATGAAAATTGAATTGCAGTATAATCTTACAACTTTTGAGAAATCTATGTTTTTCAGCTAAAAAGAGAGAAACTCAGCCTTCTGACCTTTCTTCTTTCCCTCCTTGGAAGGCAATCCAAGGCCTGGAAAAACAGCAGCCATATTTTAACCACAAGAATAAAAACCTGGCTAAGAAAGTATCAGGAAACTGAAAAGAACCCTGGACTGCCTTCCTCTGAACATTTTAAGTGACAAAAATGAAATCTATATTTCTTTAAGTCACTGAATCAGATTTATTCTTTCTGTGGCTACATGTAGCCCTAAATGATGTATTAAATACTAAAATAAATACTAAAATACACACTAAAATACTAAAATTTTGGTCTTGACTCCTGATCTCAGGTGATATGCCCATCTCAGCCTACCAACGTGCTGGGATTACAGGCATGAGCCACCACGCCCACCTCAAAAGCTTTGTGTTTTTAAATATATTAGACATGTCTCTAGTTTAAAAAAAAAAAACTTAACAATAATGTAGGAGAATAAGAGAAACTTTTTCCAAAAAAGAGAAATCACTGTGATTATTTTATCTTATTGGAATGTTGGATAATATAATCTGCTTTACTAATCATTAAACACGCTGTAAATTTTCCATTACAACAGGATTTGTACCTCAATTAAGGTGATAAAGTTTTAAAGTTTAGAAAGTGAAAGCCAGCCCCGCCTCTCTCCCAGAGTGGGCGGGGACAGCAGTTGCATGGGCAGCTTTCCTTGTGACATCACAGGACCTTCATGACACGCAGCTGCCTGGCCCCGCCTCCTTTCCCTTTCATCTTTCTCATTGACCAATGGGCTTGGATCATTAAGGCCACGCCCCTTTTCTGCATTCTAGTGAGACCCTGGTGACACCTCCTGTGGCTCAGTCACATAGCTGCGTGGTACGTGACTGGAGGCATATCACTGTCCTCGCCTGGATCACGCCAATGTGGCCCCAACCCCACCTCCCTCCCCACCCCATGATGTCAGAAAAAACCTGACACAGAAAATTGGCTGGGGCCAAGAGAAAGGTAAAATGCATCGGATTGCAGCACCCCAACCCCAACCCAGCCCCAGGTCCCCTCTGATGGCAGAACAGCTGCCAGAATCCGTGTCACTCCAGAGGCACACAGGGCTGGGCCCCCCCAGTGCCTCTGGGCTCCCCCAACCAAAATCTTGTGTCAGCCCCAACCCCTCAGCAGTCCGGCCGCTGCCCTCACCGGTCACCCCAGGGTGACTTTCAGCCGGTGACTCGTGGGGCTCCCTGCTTGGTACTCTGCCCTCACCTCCTATTGTCCAAAAACGGATCTCCCTGGGCCCTTCGGGCTCACGTTTCCAAGGAACTGGATGCCCCAGCACCTGCCCTCACCAGTCACCCCAGGGTGACTTTGGGCAGGTGACTCCTGGGGCTCCCCACTCCATACTCAGCCCTCACCTACCACTGCCCCAAGCCTGACTTCCCTGGGCTCTTTGGGCTCACGTCTCCAAGTACCTGGGTCCCAACCCTGTGACCCCACGCCAATCTCAAAGAGGCAACTTGGGCGCAGCACTGATGGGAGAATGGGTTTGGTTTGGTTTTCTCCCAGGCTTCTACTCTCCAGAGAGACTTTAACAGTTTTTTCTAAGTTATCCACCTCATATTTGAATTCTCCATGGTTCTGGGACCAGAGTGCCCATCAGTCAGTGATCTTTGAAGTGAGATTTGCTCATCTTCTGTGCAAGAGATCTTGGGAAACTGGACTTGACAACTTGAATCTTCCTCATCTCATCTCAACCTGGGGTACTTTGAGTGCCACAGGATACAGATGGGGCATCTTTCTGAAGCATCAGTTTCCCTTGATTCTCGTGGGAGAGACAAAACATTAATGTTCTTAGGGATGATAGGCACATAGATTTCAAAGAGTATACAAGACTTCTCTCTGAAATGCAGCTTGGGTTGTCCTCTTTCTGTTTAATTCCCACATTTAACAGAAAGGCTGCCTTCTGCCCTGAGGATACATAACTCTAAGAGGATGTACGACTGTAAACCACACAGTGTACACCTTCCTGCCTACTTTTTACTTTCCTACCTCTGCCTCTGGTTTTGGTCTCTGGCAGCTGCTGATTTGTGGCAACACCCCAGAGCTCAGAGTCAGAAGACTGAGTTTCAGTTCCATTATTGCCTTTCTTTTAGCCATGGTATCAATCCCTCTCAGTCACTAAGTGATTGCGACAACACCTCGTACAGTCGTTGGTGGCATTAAATCAGATCGTCTATGAGAGTATTTTGTATAAACTGTAAAGTGACTGTAGGAGCTTGTAGTTCTCATGAGTATCACTGCTCCTCTTTTCCACAGTTCACAGACTATCGTCAGTGGAACATTGCTGGTGTTGGTACCGGAGCAACCGACACCAAAAAGAAGAAAATAAATCATGGCACTAACCCTGAGACAACCACTTCGGGGGGCTGCCACTCGCCTGAGGATGTGAGTCTTGGCTGGCCGGTCTCCTGAGGACAAGGGGCACAAGGGGGAGGTCGAGGGTAACTGTTAAGATTGTGGAAGGAAGAACTGCCGGGTACTGGCTAAGAATTCTGGGTTTGAGTCCTACTTCTCTCTCCATCTGCGAGGGACACGGTTTAGGGAAAATTGCTCGAGTTCTTTGGGCCTCTCTTTTCACACCTGTAAAATGGGGATGGTAATGTTTTACTTACATGTGTGAAGCTTAAATCAGATTTGTTGCTGTTGTTTTTGTGTTAATCCCTAGTCCAGGGCCTGCTGTAAGCTCCCCTCCTCTTTGGGCTTCCGTTTCCTGAGGAGGTAGAGTTAGAGTATCAGAGGGTTCTGTTTGCTCTGAGAGTCTGAGATTTAAAGATTCACTAGAATGGAAACCTTGGGGCCAAGGGCTCCTGTCTGCCTTTTCCGTCCTATATCCCAGCTGTGAAGAACTGTCCCCGGCCCCTATGTGCTTGCTCAATGCTTGTTGAATGAACACATCTTTCTCCATCACAAGCTGGCAGAAGGGTGGGCTTTTCTCACACTCTTATGTCGGAAGGTTTATGTTACTGTCTTTTCCAGAGAATCTAGTTTCAGACTTTCAGTTCTGTGGCTGTGGGCAAAAACCAACAAAGACCCAAATCCTTTTTCTTTGGGCGTTAAGGCAAGTTGACCAGTTTGTGTTCCCATTGGGTCTGAGAACTTTGCCCTTAAAATCCATTCCTGACCCCTGCGTACCGCTTCCTGGCCTGGGCAATAGAGTCGAGGGGCCACCCTCAGTCACCTTCCTTTGACTCTCCCCACAGAAACAACAGAACGGAGCTCAGCTGAAAGAGGTAACATGGTTTCTTTCTTTGCTCACGACATGACCGCTGGGTTTGGGGGGCACTCAGATGTAGAGGCCCCAGTCTCGTCTCGCCTACTCCCAGCCTGGGGAGGAAGGCTCACCTCCCAGCTTCCACCCCATCCCCACAGGGTCCCTGATAACCTGGTCCCATGGGTGGGCCTGTCCTGGGACAGTGGTGCCATGCTGGGGGCATGTCTCTTGCTGTGCCATCTCTGCCTCCCTCTAGTAAGAGCTCTGTCTTCCTCTTCTTTTCTATAGGAAAAGAAGGCAAGCCACCAACATCAGCAAGCCCTAAGGAGGCAGCTAGAGGTGAGTGGAGGGTGTGAAGTTCCCTCCTGTCCTCTGGAGAAGGTTTCTTTGCTTCTCTTTCAGCACTTGCTTTTCTTGTCTCCCAAAGGCCCAGGATCATACCATACGAATCCTTATGTGTCAGAAAACTGAACTGGAGACAGCGCTCCATGACAGCCAGGATGCTGCCAGGAAATTTGAAGGTGGGAATCTGGGCACCCCGTCACCCTTCAACCTGGCACTTTCACAGGCCTTTGGGCTGCAGCTCAACCTCTCTCATTCCAGAAGATTCCAAGGATCTGGCAGGCTGCCTGCATCATTCCTGGCACTTTGCAGGAGAGTTACAGCGGGCTCTCTCTGCTATGTCCGCAGAGCACAAGAGGGCGGACAGGGTGAGTCCAACCACTTACCGGGTCCCCTGGGAGCCCAGCTTCGCAGATGGAGGAATGAGCCTAAAGGTCCCTTCTGCAGAATGCAGTGTCCTGCCCAGAAGACAGCATGGGCCATTTCTTGCTGCTTTTGTGCGTGGTTGTTAGAGGCAGGTTGGGGCTGAGTCAGCTGCTGTGGGTGAGTTGCGGGGCGCTGTGGGGAGCGAGCACTGGACACAGAGCTCGGAGGCCAAGTGCCCACCCCACCCATACTTGGCTGTGGCCTTGGTCAAATCCTAGGTGGAGTTGAGGGTACTTGTACCATGAAGGTACAGAAGAGTATCTTTAGTATGTTACCATTTGTGTAGAGAGAGGGAACACATGTACGTGGGTGTGTGTGTGTGTGTGTGTGTGTACGTACGTATTATGGTAATATACATAAAACATGTTTGTAAGGATTCATAAAAAACTCAGGAGAGAGGAACAGTGTTGGGGGAAGATATTTCCCTTCTGTACCTTCTGAGGTTTGGACTATGCCAATGTATCATTCTTTCAAAAATCAACAAAGGATTAATTTCCTCCTCCTTATCTGTGCCCCTACCCCCAACCAAAAGAATGGGTTTAGAGAATCAGATATACCTGGGTGTTGAAATCCCAGCTCTAAGTGATCTTAGGCAAGCACTTAACCTTTAATACCCCATGTTCTTCATCTACACAATAGAGGTGATAATGATAACTGTCTCCTGTGGTGGCTGTGAGGATTAAATGGGATTGTTAGCATAGTGCCTGGTGAAGCACTCAAGAAAGGTTCCAACAGTGGTAGTAATAACAGTAATAACAATAGCAATATTATCTGATCGCTCTGGGCCCGTTAGCCAGCTATCAATTCAGTCTCTTTCCCTGTGCCTTCCACCCTTACTGAGTTCTCTGAAAAACAAGTGAGAGCCAGGTGCAGTGGCACATGCCTGTAATCCCAGCTACTTAGGAGGCTGAGGCAGAAGAATCGCTTGAAGCCGGGAGGCGGAGGTTGCGGTGGGGTGAGATCGCGCCATTGCACTCCAGCCTGGGCAACAAGAGCGAAACTCCATCTCAAAAAAAAAAAAAAAAAAAGAAAGGAAAAACAAATGAGACCATGGGTTTGGAAACGCCTTGAGAACATGTCGGGTGTGACTGAGAGGGAGCAAGTGTTACTGTGGAGTATCAGTGTAGCTGTCGTTACTGGTCGTCCAGCTGCTCCTCTGCCTGCTGTATCCTGACTTGACCTTTCTCTATTTGCAGTACATCGAGGAGTTAACAAAGGAGAGGGAAGCCATGAGTCTGGAACTGTACAGGAACACGTAGGATGGGGGAAGGTGGGATGGGAGGTCTGGGGGCCCTTAGCGTGGGTGGTGTGCTGGGAGGTGGGGGGTACAGGTGAGCATGGTAGGGGGTCATACAGGTTTACATGTGTGTGCAGGGAAGCTCCAGTGACGGCTGTGCCACTGACTCATGGGGTAGCCTCAGGCAACTCATGTCTTCTCTCTGGCCTGCCACCTGGGACTTTTAATTCCTGGGGTCCCTTCCAATGCCACGGTTCTGTGGTTGTGGGGCGAGGGTAGAGGGTCGATCACCAAAGCGGTCCTTTCTGTTCTTCGTTCATTCCTTTCTCTACTGCCTCCGGCCATAGCATAACCAATGAGGAGCTGAAGGAGAAAAATGCCGAACTACAAGAAGAACTTCAACTGGTAGAAACTGAAAAGTCTGAGATCCAGCTCCACATCAAGGAGCTAAAAAGGAAACTGGAGACGGACAAAATCCCGCTGCCACAGGTGAGCGGCTGCAGCCCCGGGGGTGTGGGAGCCGCATCCGGCTGGGACATGGTCTAGGGATCATGCAGGGTGTGGGGAGGCTCCAGCCAAGAGCTGGAAAATTTGAGTCCTTGTTCTGGTCCCACCATAGAATCCTCTAGAGTGTGCTAAAAATCTACAATTTGGGACCATGCCTGGGAAATCAGAACCTCAGGGTTAGGGCTTAAAATTTCTTTTTAAAGAATCATAGACGAAAACCGTTATTTTATAGATTACATTTATATACCTAGCTTATGACTCTATTTCCTTTTGAGGTTCAAACCAACACTTTGCAGGAGAAGATGTGGAGGCAGAAGGAGGAGCTACAGGATCAGGAGAAGCTACGGAAGCACAAGGAGAAGATGTGGTGACAGGAGCAGAGGCTGCGGGACCAGGAGAAGGAGCTGTGGGAGCAGGAGCAGCAAATGCAGGAGCAGGAGCAGCAGATGCGGGAGCAGGAGGAGCAGATGCGGGAGCAGGAGGGGCAGGTGCGGGAGCAGGAGGGGCAGGTGCGGGAGCAGGAGGGGCAGGTGCGGGAGCAGGAGGGGCAGGTGCGGGAGCAGGAGGGGCAGGTGCGGGAGCAGGAGGGGCAGGTGCGGGAGCAGGAGGGGCAGGTGCGGGAGCAGGAGGGGCAGGTGCGGGAGCAGGAGGGGCAGGTGCGGGAGCAGGAGGGGCAGGTGCGGGAGCAGGAGGGGCAGGTGCGGGAGCAGGAGGGGCAGGTGCGGGAGCAGGAGGGGCAGGTGCGGGAGCAGGAGGGGCAGGTGCGGGAGCAGGAGGGGCAGGTGCGGGAGCAGGAGGGGCAGGTGCGGGAGCAGGAGGGGCAGGTGCGGGAGCAGGAGGGGCAGGTGCGGGAGCAGGAGGGGCAGGTGCGGGAGCAGGAGGGGCAGGTGCGGGAGCAGGAGGGGCAGGTGCGGGAGCAGGAGGGGCAGGTGCGGGAGCAGGAGGGGCAGGTGCGGGAGCAGGAGGGGCAGGTGCGGGAGCAGGAGGGGCAGGTGCGGGAGCAGGAGGGGCAGATGGGGGAGCAGGAGGGGCAGATGGGGGAGCAGGAGGAGCAGATGGGGGAGCAGGAGGAGCAGATGCAGGAGCAGGAGGAGCAGATGGGGGAGCAGAAGGAGCAGATGCGGAAGCAGGAGGAGCAAATGGGGGAGCAGGAGGAGCAGGTGCAGAAGCAGGAGGAGCAGGTGCAAAAGCAGGAGGAGCAGATGCGGAAGCAGGAGGAGCAGATGCGGGAGCAGGAGGAGCAGATGCGGGAGCAGGAGGAGCAGATGCTGAAGCAGAAGGAGCAGACAGAGCAGGAGGAGCAGACGGGGGAGCAGGAGGAGCAGATGCGGGAGCAGGAGGAGCAGATGCGGGAGCAGGAGGAGCAGATGCGGGAGCAGGAGGAGCAGATGGGGAAGCAGGAGGAACAGATGTGGGAGCAGAAGGAGCAAATGTGGGAGCAGAAGGAGCAGATGCGGAAGCAGGAGGAGCAAATGGGGGAGCAGGAGGAGCAGATGCAGAAGCAGGAGGAGCAGGTGCGAAAGCAGGAGGAGCAGGTGCGAAAGCAGGAGGAGCAGATGCGGAAGCAGGAGGAGCAGATGCGGAAGCAGGAGGAGCAGATGCGGAAGCAGGAGGAGCAGATGCGGAAGCAGGAGGAGCAAATGGGGGAGCAGGAGGAGCAAATGGGGGAGCAGGAGGAGCAAATGGGGGAGCAGAAGGAGCAGATGCGGAAGCAAGAGGAGCAGATGGGGGAGCAGAAGGAGCAGATGCGGAAGCAGGAGGAGCAGATGCGGAAGCAGGAGGAGCAGATGCGGAAGCAGGAGGAGCAGATGCGGAAGCAGGAGGAGCAGATGCGGAAGCAGGAGGAGCAGATGGGGGAGCAGGAGGAGCAGGTGCGGGAGCAGGAGGAGCAGATGGGGGAGCAGGAGGAGCAGATGCGGAAGCAGGAGAAGCAGATGCTGAAGCAGAAGGAGCAGATGGGGGAGCAGGAGGAGCAGATGGGGGAGCAGGAGGAGCAGATGCGGAAGCAGGAGGAGCAGATGCAGAAGCAGGAGGAGCAAATGGGGGAGCAGAAGGAGCAGATGCGGAAGCAGGAGGAGCAAATGGGGGAGCAGGAGGAGCAAATGGGGGAGCAGGAGGAGCAGATGCGGAAGCAGGAGGAGCAGGTGCAAAAGCAGGAGGAGCAGATGCGGAAGCAGGAGGAGCAGATGGAGCAGGAGGAGCAGGTGCGGGAGCAAGAGGAGCAGGTGGGGGAGCAGGAGGAGCAGATGAGGGAGCAGGAGGAGCAGATGGGGGAGCAGGAGGAGCAGATGCAGAAGCAGGAGGAGCAGATGGGGGAGAAGGAGGAGCAGATGGGGGAGCAGGAGGAGCAGATGGGGGAGCAGGAGGAGCAGATGCGGAAGCAGGAGGAGCAGATGGGGGAGCAGGAGGAGCAGATGCTGAAGCAGGAGGAGCAGATGCTGAAGCAGGAGGAGCAGATGCGGAAGCAGGAGGAGCAGATGCGGAAGCAGGAGGAGCAGATGGGGGAGCAGGAGGAGCAGATGGGGGAGCAGGAGGAGCAGATGCGGAAGCAGGAGGAGCAGATGGGGGAGCAGGAGGAGCAGATGCTGAAGCAGGAGGAGCAGATGCGGAAGCAGGAGGAGCAGATGCGGAAGCAGGAGGAGCAGGTGGGGGAGCAGGAGGAGCAGATGCGGGAGCAGGAGGAGCAGATGCGGAAGCAGGAGGAGCAGATGGGGGAGCAGGAGGAGCAGATGAGGAAGCAGGAGGAGCAGATGGGGGAGCAGGAGGAGCAGATGGGGAAGCAGGAGGAGCAGATGGGGGAGCAGGAGGAGCAGATGGGGGAGCAGGAGGAGCAGATGTGGGAGCAGGAGGAGCAGATGCGGAAGCAGGAGGAGCAGATGGGGGAGCAGGAGGAGCAGATGAGGAATCAGGAGGAGCAGATGGGGGAGGAGGAGGAGCAGATGCGGAAGCAGGAGGAGCAGATGGGGGAGCAGGAGGAGCAGATGAGGAAGCAGGAGGAGCAGATGGGGGAGCAGGAGGAGCAGATGCGGAAGCAGGTCGAGAGGCTGCGATTCAAGGAGGAGAGGCTGTGGGATGAGTATGAGAAGATGCAGGAGGAGGAGGAGAAGATCCGGGGGCAGGTGGAGAAGATGGGGGAGAAGAAGGAGAGGATGGGAGAGCAGGAGGAGAAGATGCAGGAGGAGCGGTGCTCAGAGCCCTGCCTCCCTCCCTCCAAATATCCTTGTGATATGAGCCACCCTGGCAGCCTGGAGCCTGCACGAGAAGCCGGGAAGGGTTATTCCCATGACCACCACACTGCACAGCAGATCATGCAGCTGCCCCCTGGAATGAAGAACGCCCAGGAGCGCCCAGGCTTAGGCAGCACCTCCTGCATCCCATTCTTCTACCGAGGAGACAAGAAAAAGATCAAGATCATCAATATCTAAAAAGAACGGTCAACAAGGCCTACAGAAGTGTAAGCCGCCATGTGACCTTGTGAATATAGTCTGAGAACAAACTTGAAAAAAAGAAAATGTATTTTAAATTGTGGCAAAATACTGGCCGGGCACGGTGGCCTGCACCTGTAATCACACCACTTTGGGAGGCCTAGGCAGGTGGATCACCAATCCCAGCTACGTGGGAGGTTGAGGTTGCAGTGAGCCGAGATCACACCACTGCACTCCAGTCTGGGTGACAGAGTGAAACTCCCATTTCAAAAAAAAAAAAAAATTTTTCTACCTGAGGACTCTAATATCTATGTATGTTTCTATTGTTTTTTTTGTTTGTTTTCTCCTTTCGTCTTGTGTTGTCTTGTCTTATGGCATGCCTAGTAAAGTTTTATGTGTCTCCAGAGAGTATTGACTTTGACTTTATGGCACACAATTGGCGTTCAAGCAGATCGCTTTCATCTAGTTTGGGACTAAGCTGGCTCAAAGCAGGTTTTAGTTTTTGTGACAGCTGGTCTATTTTTTATTCTTTTGGACTCTTAGGGGTGGCCCTTCCAGGATCCCCACCAAGGTCTCATCTCCTTACTGGGACCCAAATTCTCATTATGTCATTTCAGCCCTGTGAGAGTGCCAAACATTCAGCTAGGCTCTCCAGCCTCTTAACTATCACTTCATACTCAGTTTCTTAGCCTCTTAGCCCTCTACTGTTGACCAATCACCAAATGTGGGAAAAGCACTAAGGACTGTCAGGATCACCTCCTAGGCCTGGTCACTCAAGTCCTGGCTGAGGTCCCCAATTACCTTCCAACAATTGTTTTTGATGGTGGGGGGAAGGGGGGACACATTTTTGTCCAGTTTTTCTAACTGTTCCTGTGGGGAGGCTAGTCTATAACAAGCTACTCTGCCTTTAATGAATGTTGAAAACCCTTTTTTTTTTTTTTTGAGATGGAGTCTCACTCTGTTGCCCAGGCTCTAGTGCAGTGGTACAATCTCTGCTCACTGTAACCTCCACCTCCTGGGTTCAAGCAATTCTCCTGCCTCAGCCTCCCAAGTAGCTGGGATTACACGCGTATGCCACCACCCCTGGCTAATTTTTATATTTTTAGTAGAGACGGGATTTCACCATGTTGTCCAGGCTGGTCTCGAGCTCCTGACTCATGTGATCTACCCGCCTCGGCCTCCCCAAGTGCTGGGATTACAGGCGTGTGCCACTGCATCCAGCCCATCTGTCTTTTTATAAATGTTTCTAATTTGAGGTATAATTCCTATTCCGTGAAATGCACAGATCTGGTTTACATTTTGATGACTTTTAACAAATGCATTACCCATGTAACCCACCTCCTTTGAAGATATGGAACATTTATCATCCAGAAAGTTCTCCTGTGCTTTCATCCTGTCCGGCACTCCCCCAGCAGCTGATGAACATGCTGAGGACATTTGTACAGGATTCTGGCCTCCCCAAAAGAGCTGCTTTGACAAGCCTGCTTGCCTTACCCAGCACTAAATCCCTTCCTGTTCTCTCAAAATTTCCATCTTTAAACTGCTTGTACCTATAACCCTCCCACATCAAATCCATAGATAAACCAGCCCACAGCCTAATATTTACTGTATACCCAAGCTTTCAGAAATACGACTCCCAGGAGTGGGGACTGGTGGCTGCATCCCCTCCTCCTCCTGGAAGCCTCTACCAGCCTACAGAGCCCACAGAGTAGATCTCACCAGGCAGCCTGAGCCTGAAAGTGCCGTGGAGCCTCCTGCTGGTTCACCCTCACTATGGTGGCAGCTGCACGGGAGCAGCTGGGCTCACTCATTAAGCAAGAAGACATTGGCTTGATGCTGACACTCCAACCCCAGCCTGGGTGAGCCTGGCTGAAAGGCCCCTTCCTTCTGGTCAGACTGTGGGGAGACGCGGCAGAGCATACACACTCTACTGCCCTCCTCATGCTTCAGCTGTGCTTCCTTCTTAACAGAGGGAGCCGCTCATGGATTTGGCCAAAGCCTTCCTGAGGGCTGAAGGTTTGACAGGCTGGGTGTGTAGGGGCCACCGTGCTAGAGAGAGAGACTGGTGTGTCAGAAGGCAGCCACCTGGCCAGAGGGGGGTCAACCCCCTTGGTAACCTCCTTCCCCCAGCTGGACACAGAGCCCTGTACTCTCCACATGTGACTGCTCCCCTCAGAGCTGCCACCAGAAGAGGGGTTCTAACCCTGTGGGTGGGGACATTGTGTTACTTTACAGTGGGCCATGGCTCCCTCTGACATCTCCAACTCAGAGGCAGTAGAGAGAAGATGAGAAATTCCCTGCGCCTCTAGTCCTAGCTACTTGAGAGGCTGAGGCAAGAAGGTCACTGGAGCCCAGGAGCTCAAGGCTGCAGTGAGCTATGATTACATCAACGCATTCCAGCCTGAGTGACAGAGTGAGACCCAATCTCAAAAACAACAATAATAAGTTAAACATAAATCTAACTACCACATTATTGGCCAGGTGCGGTGGCTCACACCTGTAATCCCAGCAATTTGGGAGGCTGAGGCGGGTGGATCACGAGGTCAGGAGATGGAGACCATCATGGCTAACACGGTGAAACCCAGTCTCTACTAAAAATACAAAAAAATTAGCCAGGCATGGTGGCGGGCGCCTGTAGTCCCAGCTACTCAGGAAGCTGAGGCAGGAGAATTGCGTGAACCCGAGAGGCGGAGCTTGCTGTGAGCTGAGATGGCGCCACTGCACCCCAGCCTGGGCGACAGAGCGAGATGCCATCTCAAAAAAAATAAATATGTAAGCATTCCACATTATTGACCAATTCCACTCCTAGGTATAGCCACAAAGAATTAAAAGCAGACACTCAAGACACTCGTAAACCAGTGTTCATAGCAGCATTACTCACAACAGTCAAGAGATGAAAGCAACCTGATTGCCCACTGAAGGGATAACATGTGGCTTACATATATAATGGAATAGCATTGAGCCTTTAAAAGAAAATTTTGACACATGCGGATGAACCCCAAACACCTAGGAAGTTCAATAACCCAGTCACAAAAGGACAAATACTGTATGATTCCCCTTATAGGAGACACCTTGAGTAGTCAAATTCTGAGACAAAAGTAGAATGGTGGTTGCCTGGGGACAGAAGGAGTTAGTGTTTCATGGATACGGAGTTTCAGTTGGAGAAAGGGCAAAAGTTGTAGAGATGGATGGTGGTGATGGCTGGGCAATAATGTGAATATACTTAATGCCAATGAACTGTACACATAAAAATGATTAAAATGGCAAGTTTTAAGGTATGTATATTTTACCACAATATTTAAATTTTTTTAATTACATTTTTTTAAATTGTTACCAAAAAATACGAATAATCCATCCAAGTTATTTAGAAAAGGAGCGTCAGATCAAGCTTTCCAAAATGCCAAAACTCAGAAGATTACCTGGTTGCTTGACCCACACCCAGGTCTCCAGAATTGACTTGGCCCTATATACAGGTGCAGGAGTTTCGTCTTCATCTTTTTTCTCTTTGTCATTCAGATCTTCTTTCTTTGTTCCACTTGGTTCGACACTATCATCTGCAGAATTAAAAAATTTTTTAATCTGTCACCGCTTTTCAGAATGTCATACCATTAGTCTCTGCAAATGTCCCTCCCCGAAAAGTTACAACACACATCATTAACTGAATGGCATGCGGTATCCCCCACCCCAGGGCTGTGAGCATGCGTGACTAATAAACTGCTATTTCATCTGTCCAGTGTCGGTGTCCTACGTTCAGCCATCCCATATCCCTAGGGCAGGAATCTTCTAGGGTTATAAACAGAACTTTAATCAACCTCTCCTTGGTTATTTTACTGGTTCCATGATACAGCTTTTTCTGTGCAAAAGATCTGAACAGAAACTTCACAGAGGATACAAGAGTGGCAAAGAAGAACACGATATTCAGCATTCTTAGCCATTACGGAAGTGCAAATTAAAACCACAATGAGATCCCACTAGACTTGTTAGAATGGCTCAACTAAAAAACACTGATAACACCAAGTGCTAACAAAGACACAGAGCAACAGAAACGTGACAGATTGCCAGTGGGAATGCAAACTAAAACAGCCACTTCGGAAAACAGTTCAGCACATGACCCAACTTTCACACTACTAGGTCTTTATCCTAGGGAAATGGAAACTATATTCACATAAAATCTGTAGAGAAATGCTCACAGTAGGATTACAATTGGGAAAGAAAAATGGAAACAACCACAAGGTCCTACAATGGCAGAATGGATAAACACCATGTGGTACATCCAAATGATGAAATACTAATCAGCAATAAAAACAACTATTAATACATAGAACAGCAGATAAATCTCAAACATATAACTGGGAGTAAATGAAGATGGTTTCAAAACGTTACTTAAAATATGGTTCCACTCACATGACATTCTCAAAAAGAATACCCTATACTGATGGAGAACAGATCAGTGGTTGCCAGGGTATGAGACCAGGGAACACGTGATAAAAAGGAGCAGCACAAGGGAGCTTTCGGGGTGAAGAAAATTCTCCACCCTGATGATGATGGGGGTTACACGAATCTATAGAGGTCAAAATTTACTGAACTACATACCACAATAAAATAAATTTCATATAAGTTTTTTAATAAAAATATGTTGGCTGGGTGGGTGTGGTGGCTCACACCTGTAATCCCAGCACTTTGGGAGGCCGAGGCGGGTGGATCACAAGGTCAGGAGTTCGACACCAGCCTGGCCAACATGGTGAAACCCTGTCTCTACTAAAAATACAAAAATTACCCAGGCTTGGTGGCACGTGCCTGTAATCCCAGCTACTTGGGAGCCTGAGGCAGGAGAATGGCTTGAACCTGGAAGGCGGAGGTTGCAGTGAGCCGAGATCACACCATTGCACTCCAGCCTGGACCACCGAGTGAGACTTCATCTCAGGAAAAAAAAAAAAAAAAAAAGAAGGAAAATATCTAGGTCCAGGGAGAACAGCTGGAATACGGTCTGGTGGAATCATGTCAGAGCAGGGAGCTGGGTCTGGAGGGCTGGAGTAGGGTGCAGCCCCACTCTAGGAAGGAACTAGGAAAGGCATCCTGGGTGAAGCAAGAGCAGAGTCCCGTTCTGCAACAGGTGAGCATTTATCCTGATCTGAGAAACTACATACAAATTTAATACGTCTCACTTAGCCTCTTATTTTCCTTAACAACATGGAAAATGAGAGGACAAACAATTCAGAAGGTTAAGACATGAAATACATTTAATTCAGAAATCATACACAGAAAGGTAGGAAATGAATGGGGGAAAAAAGCAGCTAATGGAAAGTGAAAATGGGCCAGATGCGGTGGCTCACGCCTGTAATCCCACCACGTTGGGAGGCCGAGGTGGGTGGATCACTTGAGGTCAGGAGTTTGAGACCGGCCTGGCCAACATGGTGAAACCCGATCTCTACTAAAAATATCAAAATTGGCCTGGCATGGTGGCAGCCACCTGTAATCCCAGCAGCTCGAGAGGCTGAGGCAGGAGAATTGCTTGAACCTGGGAGGCAGAGGTTGCAGTGAGCTGGAATCTCGCCACTGGACTCCAGCCTGTACAACAGAGTAGGACTCTGTCTCAAAAAAAAAAAAAAAAAGTGAAAATAACCTAACATGTACTATGCAAAGCATCTGGCCTAACAACAATACATTACCCTTTTAAATCTTTACAAACAACCTTGAAGGAGGCAGGCTTTGTTGTCTCCAGTTTACCAAGGTAGACAGACATCTTGGGTCACAGAATACACAGCAGAACCCAGCCAGGAACACAGCTCAGGTGAGAACACAGGTGCTGGCTCTAAATGCCAGACTCTGCCCTACGTGTGTGTATGTGTGTGTGTGTTTGGGGTCACTAACCACAGCCCAGGGGCCAAACCCAGCCCACAGCCTCTTTGTGTATGGTCTGAACGCAGAGAAAGTATTTTATTTTTGTTGTTCTTTTGAGACAGAGTCTTGGCTCATCACAACCTCTGCCTCCCAGGCTCAAGCGATTCTCCCAGGTTCAAGTGATTCTCCTGCCTCAGCCTCCGAGGAGCTGGGATTACAGGCGTGCATCACCATGCCCCGCTAATTTTTTGTTTTTAGTAGAGATGGGGTTTCACCATGCTGGCCAGGCTGGTCTCGAACTCCTGACCTCAGGTGATCCGCCTGCCTCAGCCTCTAAAAGTGCTGGGATTACAGGTGTGAGCCACCATGCCCGGCCACTGTATTTTATATTTTTTAATAATTGAAAAACATTCAAAAGAAAAACAGTATTTTGTGACTTGCAAACATTCGGTGGACTTCATCTTTTGGTGTCCATAAATACACTTTACAGAATGAACGTCCCCTGCCCGCTGACGTGGTATTGTCTGTGGCTACTTTGGCACTAAATCTGCAAGGTCTCATGGCTATGACAGAGACCATAGGGTCCATTGAGACCTTAAAATATTTACTTTCTGGCCCTTTAGAGAAAGTAGGCCACCCCTACCCTACAGCTGGCTATAAATTTTACACATTAAAAAAATGCAACATTCTTAATTTTAAACTCAGTGTACTGGAACACTGCTCATCTCCCTTCTTCAAGATGAAAAGCTTCGACAGTCACCGGGAAGCAGACAAGAACCCTAAGTACACCTCAAGAGTTATTCTCAGGAGCATAAATTACAACACTTTACAACAGCAAAAGCAGGATGAAGTCACTGGAGGCCACGAAAACAACCAAGAGTAATTAGCACCACCAGCTCAAAGACCACACCACAACAACTTCAAAGTTGTCTACTCTTCCTTTCACTACTGTAGGGTTCAAAGTATACATAGAGAAAATCGAACACATACTACCGAAACACATTGCTTATGGAATGCTGGAGAGAAGGGAAGCGAGACCTCCCATTGGCCAGGTGTGGTGGCTCATGCCTGTAATCCCAGCACTTTGAGAGGCCAATGTGGGATGATCACTTGCACCCAGGAGATCAAGACCAGCCTGGCCAACACAGCAAAACCCCATCTCTACTAAAAATACAAAATACGGCTAGGCGTGGTAGCTTACATCTGTAATCCTAGCACTTTGGGAAGCCGAGGTGAGGGGATCACTTGAGGTCAGGAGTTCCAGAGCAGCCTGGCCAACATAGTGATACCCCATCTCTACTAAAAATGTGGCTCAGGCCTGTAATCCCAGCACTTTGGGAGACCGAGGCGGGTGGATCACAAGGTCAGGAATTCGAGACCAATCTAACCAACACGGTGAAACCTCGTCTCTACTAAAAATTCAAAAATTAGCCGGGCATGCTGGCGTGCACCTGTAATCCCAGCTACTCAGGAGGCTGAGGCAGAGGATCGCTTGAACCTGAAAGGGGGAGGGTAGTGGTGGCGGGCACCTGTAATGCCAGCTACTCGGGAGGCTGAGGCAGGAGAACTGCTTGAACCCGGGAGGCAGAGGTTGCAGTGAGCCAAGATCACGCCACTGCACTCCAGCCTGGGCAACAGAGCAAGACCCTGTCTCAGAAAGTAAAATAAAAAATTCATAGTCTTAATAATGGAAAACAAAAACATTTACTGAATGTCAAAACGTCTCCCTAAAAACCCCAATCAGTTGGGTTCTACGTAAAGAACAATTATGCTCTGCTTTCTAACCATGATTTTTAAAAGAACAAAGGACAAAAAAAGTCATCAAATGTGGTCCAGGCACAGTGGCTCACACCTGTAATCCCAGCACTTTGGGAGGCCAAGGAGGGTGGATCATGAGGTCAGGAGTTCAAGACCAGCCTGGCCAATATGGTGAAACTCTGTCTCTACTAAAAACACAAAAATTAGCTGGCCGTGGTGGAGGGCACCTGTAATCCTAGCTACTCTGGAGGCTAAGGCAGAGAACTGCTTGAACCCAGGAGGCGGAGGTTGCAGTGAGCCAAGATCATGCCACTGCACTCCAGCCTGAGAGACAGAGCAAGACTCCCTCTCAAGAGGAAAAAACAAAAACAAAAATTCATGAAATGTAATAAATAAAATATACACTTTGGATTTTTCCATGTACTTAGCTTTTCTAGAGCATCTTTTAGAATTATTGTTTCACAAAAAACACTTTGGGAAACGTTTTAATTTATTAACAAATACTGGAGGGCTAGGAAGAAGAGGTTAAAACTTTTCAAAATATAGAGAATGAATTACTGATACGTGTAAAAAAAAAAAAAAAAAGGTTGCTGACTCCAGTCATGGAAGGCACTGTCATATGGACACTCCTAGCCTCAGCATCTGGAGGTCCGGAAAGGGAAAATTTCAAGTCAGAGAGAATTCTATACATACCATTTATTTGGAACCTTCAGCCCTTAAGATCCCAACATTATGACCTCAGTTTCAACATAATTGTCCTCAGTCCTTGTATTGGTTACAAATACAAAACAAACAGCTCAACTGAACTAACTCTTTTCTCTCCAGAAACACAAACAAAAGACCTCATAAAAGGAGTGAGTTTCTAGCGGCCATAATTACTGCAACTTACTTCTCCAATTTTGCCCTCCACAGTTAACTCAACAGCTCAAAAACTATCAGTAACAAACAACAGTCACCATGATATGGTTAGGAGTGTAGCAGATTTCTCAACCAGTAATAATAATTAAGAAAAAAATTTTGCCTATTAATAAATCTCGTTTCCTGCACTTGCAAGAAACTAATTAAAAGGCAGCCCTGCACGATCTACAAAAACAGCCATGAAGACTGTTACATTTTAAGTTACAGGAAACAAACCTGATCCTCTAATATAGCAAGATACAACTGACTTCCCCTTACATACCCTAAAAAAAAGCCTTACACGAGAAATTTAAACATGGAAGCAGAAATACACCAAGAAAAACACATGTCAAACCCCACCTGTATATCTGTTTTCAACCATTCGGTGTCAAGGCGAGCCTGGGCAGCCAAACACAAAGATTCAGAGGGCATCTTTTCTCCAGCTTCCTCCCAGTTCTCAGGCCTGCAAGTAAACATACATGTTGAAGACCTAACGCTTTTTACTATTTTACAAAGACACTCCGGAAAGGTTTAATGCAGAAAAAAAACAAAAGAGAGAGACAGAGAACAAAAAGATGGGAGAGAAGAGCTGGGGGACCGGAGTGAAGTGCAGAGAGGGAAAGAGGGAACAGATGGAGGGAGAGGGAGGTGGGGAAGGGAAAGCCTCCTTCCAAGGTAGGCAGGGTGTGCCTGGTTTCTCAGGAGGCCAGATCACAATGTCATCCCCCTGCCCTCAAATCCAAAAGGTACACACACACATGACAGAAAGCCCATCGTTTTTTGTTTTGTTTTGAGATGGAGTCTCCCTCTGTCACCCAGTCTTGAGTGCAGTGGCGGAATCTCAGCTCACTGCAAGCTCCACCTCCCGGGTTCACACCATTGTCCTGCCTCAGCCTCCCGAGTAGCTGGGACTGCAGGCGCCCGCCACCACGCCCAGCTAATTTTTTGTATTTTTAGTAGAGACAGGGTTTCGCCGTGTTAGCCAGGATGATCTCCATCTCCTGACCTCGTGATCCGCCCGCCTCGGCCTCCCAAAGTGCTGGGATTACAGGCTTGAGCCACCGCGCCTGGTCAAGAAGCCCACAGTTTGAACGACAAATGACAGCAGCACGAATCTGCCGCTTTACCCTACAGCAGGGCGCCTGCGTGAAACAAATTACTCAAAAGGATCACCTGCAGAAAAACCCACAGCCACCACCACTTAGACATGGAGACAGACCCAAGGCTGCGCCGCGGGCGGTCCGCGCAGGCCCCCCGTTCGGCCGCCCGTCAACCCAGCGCCCGCACCTCCTCCGACGCTGGCAGCCCCGGTGCCCCAGGCCGGGACCTGACGCGCAGGGCCCAGCCGCCTCGCCCCGCTGGCTTGCGGACACAGCCTCCTAGCAGCCGCTGGCTCAGGCGGCGCCAGGGATCCTGACGCCTCTCCCGACCCCCGCCACCCGCGCTTAGGGCCAATCGCAAGGCGGCTCCGTGGGCGCAGCCAATGGGGAAGAGGAGCGCTTCGCCGCTCCTCCGGACTCTCCCGCTTCCTGCAATGCGGTTTATCTTCCTACTTGGGAGCCCACCGGCTGAGGCCAGGGGGCAACCGCAGGTGCCAGAAGGCGGGATTTCCGCGGCACGCACGCACACCCGCACTCCTACGGAAGTCAGTTTCTCACCACCTGAATTATTTGAACTTAGCACCACTAAACGTGGAGCAATCACGTACAGAGTGCTTCCAGACCTCATGTAATAGAAATCACTGACATCATCTATTTTTTTTTTTTTTGAGACAGAGTCTCATTGCGTCGCCGAGACTGGAGTGCAGTGGCATGGTAGCGGCTCACTACAACCTCCACCTCCCCGGTTTAGGTGCCTCAGCCTTCCGAGTAGCTGGGATTACAGGCATCTGCTACCACACCTGGCTAATTTTTGTATTTTCAGTAGTGACGGGGTTTCATCATGTTGGCCAGGCTGGTCACGAACTCCTGACCTCTGGTGATCTGCCCGCCTCAGCCTCCCAAAGTTCTGGGATTACAGGTGTGAGCCACCGTGCCCGGCCTATTTCATATTTTAAATATTAGAAAAGTAGAACTTGGCCAGGTGTGGTGGCTCACACCTGTAGTCTTGGCACTTTGGGAGGCTGAAGTGGGAGGATCGCTTGAGCCCGGGAGTTCAAGACCAGCCTGGGCAACATAACAAGACCCTGTCTATTCAAAAAATAAAATTAGCCAGGTGAGGTGGCACGTGCCTGTGGTCCCAGCTACTCGGGAGGCTGAGGCAGGAGAATCGCTTGAACCCCAGAGGCGGAGGTTGCAGTGAGCCGAGATCGTGCTACTGCACTCCAGCCTGGGAGGCAGAGCCAGACTCCATCTCAAAATAATAATAATAGTAATAATAATAAGCTTGGGCGGTGGAGGGCCATCCCCGGGCATTGGCCACATGTGGAGTGACCTGGCTTGGCTCCCTAGCAGCCAGCTTCTGGGTCAGGCATCTTCGTTGGTGACTTTCAGCTCTCCTGGTGTGGCCGTGAGTGGTGTGGCACTGCCGTGACCCATCTTTTTGTCTTAAAGATGCATCCTGACTTACCTCCACACTTGCACACTCAAGAATGCAACATCGTGATTAACTTGCTAAAAGAATATCACAAAAATCATAGCATCCGAACATTTTTTGGTCATTGCAATGATCTGGATCAGGCAATGAGAAAATAAATGCTTGAAGAATGAGTACATGGAAAAGAGGACCAAGAGCAGAGAGTATGGCAATTTGATGCAAAAGAGACTTTTTTTTTTTTTTTTTTTTTTTTGAGACGGAGTCTTGCTCTTTCACCAGAGCAAGTGCAGTGGCTCAATCTTGGCCCACTGCAACCTCCGTCTCCTGGGTTCAAGCAATTCTCCTGCCTCAGCCTCCCACGTAGCTGGGACAACAGGCCTGTGCCACCACACCCAGCTAATTTCTGTATTTTTAGTAGAGACAGGTTTCACCATTTTGGCCATGGCCAGGATGGTCTCGATCTCCTGACCTTGTGATCTGCCTGCCTCAGCCTCCCAGAGTGCTGGGATTACAGGAGTTGCTGTGTCCAGCCGCAAAAGAGACTTTTTAATTCTCCAGAGGAATCTGAAAAATAAATTGCATTTTCACTGGATGCCTTGGCTGAGAGAAGACCAAAAGGCTATGGGTTGGCCCGGGCATGGTGGCTCACACCTGTAATCCCAGCACTTTCGGATGCCGAGGTGGGTGGATGACCTGAGGTCAGGAGTTCAAGACCAGCCTGACCAATATGGTGAAACGCTGTCTTTACTAAAAATACAAAAATTAGCCAGGCGTGGTGGCAAGGGCCTGTAGTCCCAGCTACTCGAAGGCTGAGACAGGAGAATCTCTTGAACCCAGGAGGCAGAGTTTGCAATGAGCCAAGATCACGCCACTGCACTCCAGCCTGGGTGACAGAGCGAGACTCCGTCTCAAAAAAAAAAAAAAAAAAAAAAGAAAACGCAGAGTGCATAGCACATGGTAGATACTGACACTGCACTGAGTCTCTTACACACATCGTCTCATTTTACTCTCACAAAACCCCAGGAGTTTGGTATCTTTATTCTAATTTTTGAGAAACTGAGGCTCAAAAATATTAGGGATATGTCCAAGGTCACACAATGAGTAATTTGTAGATCTGAAATGCAGACAGATCTCTCATTCTGAGCCAAGTGCTTCCACAGCACAGAAGGTAGAGAAACAAAAGTTCCCTGTGGAGTTGTGGGATGCTTATTGAAGGTAGCTCATTTGGTGTGGAAACCAAAACACAAATGTGCATTAGTGGGAGTCAAGGAGGAAGGAGGAGGGAGGGGAGTAGAGAATTTCATTGCAGACTGAAGGAAGAGAATGCTAAAAATACTAATTTGTGAAAAAAAAACTTGGCAGTTTTAGTAATTTACTGGTATGAGGAGAAATAAAGTTAAAAGAGTATGAATGGTGTGGCGGCAGATCATATGAGAGGTATAGTGAAAATTTACAGAATCTGCTGACCCCAATGTCAACAAAATTCATGGGGCCCAGCTCTGTACCTGCCATGACCAAGTTTTAAATTTTTCTGTAGATAGGCTGTTCCTTCCAAAGCTTAGAGATTAAGCATATATATATATATATATATATATATATACACACACACACATAATTGTTTTTTTTTTTTTTGAGATGGAGTCTCACTCTGTCGTCCCAGGCTAGAGTGCAATGGCATGATCTTGGCTCACTACAGCTTCCGCCTCCGGGATTCAAGCGATTCTCCTGCGTCAGCCTCCTGAGTAGCTGGGATTACAGGCACGTGCCACCATGCCTAGCTAATTTTTGTATTTTTAGTAGAGACGGGATTTCATCACGTTGGTCAGGCTGGTCTTGAACTCCTGACCTCGTGATCTGCCCGCCTCAGAATCCCAAAGTGCTGGAGTTAACAGGCGTGAGCCACTGTGCCCGGCCACATTTATATATTTTTAATTGAAGCCACTAGACCTCAGCATGTGGTCTAAACAAAGGCTCTTCTCCTAGTTCAGTCCATTTTCCATGATATCAGGTTCTCCAAAGGATGAACCCAAGAGGTTCTTGTTAGCTGAAGACAAAGTGAAAGGCTGACAATGACATGCAAATTTAGTAGAGCAAAGAATACACATTTATAGTAGAATAATACAAGAATTTTTTCCTTTCTACCATACAAAAAAAAATGCTTACAATGCAGGTACATTAATTTTATATTAAAAATATCCTTAGGTTGACCTCTGATGTTTTGCTTTTGCACCTGCTGTAAGCCTTAAGGCATTTGGCATTCCCATTTTCACAAACCTAATTTAGTAGACTAAATAGCTATGCTAAGCATTTCACTTGCTTTCTATTATTGTTTGGCTGTAGACTATCACATAATGTGAATGTTATTGATTTTATACATGTTAATTTCTCCTACGACGTACTATAGCAAGCTATACCTTTAGCATTTTTTTTAGGTTTTTGGCTTATAGGAAGGTATCTCCTAAACCATAAAACTTATCCCATATTTTTTTTTTCATAATTTATTTATTGAGCTTTGCTGTATGTAGCTTTTTGAAGTAGATTTTATAGTTTAGAATTGTTGCTTTCCTTTTTTAATCTTTCACTCTTCATTTTTATTGAGCTATGAATTAACTATCTTTATTGTAGCGGTAAAACCATTTGTAATAGTCATAGTTTGATTGAGTGTACATAAATAAATAAAACCCCTACGTTAAACTGGGACGTGACATCAGCCTCTTTTTATTTTTTCATTTAAATTCTGAAAACACATGGAGATGAGTGTCCTTCGTTTCTACCTTAAATGGGTTGTTACAACTGAAGGTAATAGGGGCAGTCAGTTAGCACAAAACAAATGGGCAGCTACACACAAAGAACATTTTAAAGATAAAACATGGGTATTTAGAAGGTTGCTTCCATATGTGCTATGAGTTATGTATGAGTATCAAGGAGAGAAGACAGTAACAACTACCTGGTAATCATTTATGCTCTTATGGAGAACGAGCGGTGACTCCATAATGTCCCCAAAATGAGGCAACAGTCTGTCACTGTAGCAAATGATGAGAGGGCCCTTGAGCTAGCAGGCTGGGGCACATTCTACAACCCCTTTCCTTTGTCCTGTAGGAAATTCAACTTTCACATATGAGAAATACTAAAGGAATTTTCTCAGCATTCACATAAAAATACTCTAAGAATAAAGATAAAAAAGGAATATATCAACTCTTGTAATAACTAGAAACATGTTGCTACAAAACAGATGAAAAAAGGAATGAACATTTATACATTCCAACATAAATTTTAAGGGTGTAATAAAACATAAAGAGACCATGAAGTGAAATGCAAGAGCATGGGGAAGAGATAGCCAGAAAGTGCAATAGCAACTGGCAGAATCCATGAAAGAAATAGGATTTAAAAACAAAATCATTGTAGGAAAAAAAAAAAAACTAAATTGTAAAGAGAACAAGGGAGACTGAACCCCAAATAATGTAAGGGTCGTAAAGGGTGTAAGTGAGAGAAGAATATGTAATAAGTCCTCTCCCCGTCCAAAAATCCAAAAACTGTAAAACATAGGATAGAATTAGAAAAAAGTTATTGCCTATATTAAGCCAAGATAGATCATCATAAGCACATATATTTACATTACTGTGTAGTATATGCTTATATATGTTATTAGAATGTTCAACACCAAGATATATCTGTGTATGGGACTAGGACTTTAAAGATTAAGAAAGCATTATGTGGGGGCTTAAGCAAAAATAGTCAACTTAGAGAAAAAGAAAATCATTTTGGCATCAGAGTTTTCCACAGCAAAAGTTAACACCAGAAAATGGGGGGAAATATTGAGAAAGAAGAGAAGGGAGAAGCAAATGGTTATCCTTATCCTTGCAAGATATCTATCAGCTATAAAGTGTACAGTTATAAGCACCCATAATTGCAGGGAACACTGTTTACAGAAAGTTCTTATTAAGAGATTTACCACAGGACAAAGTTCAATCAACCTAGTTCTGAGTAGGTAAAATACTACCAGTAAGGCAAGAGGTAAGCATTCAATGCATCATATATAGATTTAAGGGATACATGGTGTAGAAAATGTAAAAAGATATTTTACTGATGATTCTGATAATGTACAAATGATTCAACTGTAACAACTAGGAGGACAGAGTAAAAGAAAGGGGAAAGTAGGAATTAGCTCCCTGATTGCCTCGTCTATAATAGCTGAGAGTAATGGGTTCATTTTAAATCTCAAAATTTGCCCATAATAGTATGAAAACATTAAGTGGCACAAAGGCAAATATTAAGAAATATCCTGCCACAAAAATCAAATAGTTCAGGAGAAGTTGAGAAAGTGAAAATAGCAAAGAGTCTAATTTAATTGCCACTCATTGTGGGGAACCATTAGGTATTATCTAAATAAATGGAGAAAAATATAAATGCAGGTAAAATTACAAAAATAACAACCAGAAAACTACATCTTTCTTATCAATAAAAATAAATTATCATTTAACAATATAAAATATTTAATACTAAATTTTACAATACATATACAAGAAATACACCAAAATCAAATATAGCCAAATGTTTTAAAAATAAAATGGTCAACAAATACCAAACAGACAAATGCTAACAAATGAATTATCAACCTATTTTTATTGTCTTCTCCTTGCTTATTTTTTAAATTCCTTTTTAAAATTTTGTTTAGATACTTTAAAATTACTTTTTATATTATTTTCTCTAATAATTCTAACCTCCTGGTTTTGTTTCTCGACATTTCTGCTGTTTCTATCACAATATCTATTTTCCTTGAGTGTTTTCTTGTTGGTGGTGTTCTTTTCTGGTTTTTATTTGTTTTGTTTGTTTGTTTTGGTTTTGATTGAAAGAAATACAACAATGGAAGCTCACACTACTGCAAGGTGCTTCTCCAGATTTTGCCTATCACTCATAATTCTACTTTTATTTACTTTTCAGATTCCTCAGTTAGTTGCTTATTGTACTTTTCATAGTTTTAGTTGTAATCAACATGTAAGATAGGCTACAGGGAGCTTATCCTGCCACAAAATACCAGAAATCCATCTTTTTTTTTGTTTCTTAAAAAAAGTCATTTTGAACTTGTAATTTGTAGGAAGGAACGCAGATTTAGAGGCATACATTTTCCATGACATGGAAAAATCATTTAACAATGTTAAGTCTCTATTTCAGCAAATACAGAAAAGATATGATTCACAGGACAAGAAAGCTGACAGTTAAGAACTTACATGCAAAGGCATTTCGACAAATAATATAATCCATCCTACTCCTAAGAGAGGAAAATTTGTATTAATGAAACTTCTACCAGGTATCACTTTCACCTCAGTTAATCCACAAACATTAAATCAGCAACATTTTGTGATAAACCATATCCAAAAGAGTTGATTGATGAAATGTCATTAATAGAACAGCAGTTATCCATGATTCAGTAAAAATTCATCAATCACCCATACAACAAACTTAATTCCATCTTATACTAAGCACATACACTACACTGAAAACTGTCAACTTCTGATGATCTAAAAATGTCTCTTCTATGACCATGTGATCACACTGAAATAAAGAATACAGAAAATTCATAGATGGTCAGTTAAAAAAGCTTCCGTGAAGCAATAAACTTTCCTTAAAAATGCCAAAATAGTAACATAGACTGCATGATATAACACTCATTTTACTGACATCATCTGTTGAGGCATTTTGTTAATCAAATACTTTCTTTTATATATACTTATAAATGTCATACCAGAATTACACATTTTCTAATGAAATACAAAAGCATAAAAGAATCGTATTCATAAATTGATTTTAATCATTGTCTCGGTTCAATATTACAAACAAGTGTAATTATGGTACAAGTACAAAACAAATGGTGATTAAAGCATGTCAGAAAACAGATGTTCCTGCATACAGATGGACAATCCAATTAATACTTCTCAAATAGAAAACAGCTATTTACTCCTTACTAATGAATGATATAATTATTTATCATTAATGAAGCTTGGTTTTTTAATGTCTCCATGAAGAGCTTAAATATAATTTTCCTAAAGATGCATTTGGGCCGGGCGCCGAGGTTCAGGCCTGTAATCCCAGCACTTTGGAAGGCCAAGGCAGGCGGATCACGAGGTCAGGAGATCGAGACCATCCTGGCTAACATGGTGAAAACCCGTCTCTACTAAAAGTACAAAAAAATTAGCTAGGCATGGTGGCGGGCGCTTGTAGTCCCAGCTATTCGGGAGGCTGAGGCAGGAGAATGGCGGGAACCTGGGAGGTGGAGCTTGCAGTGAGCTGAGATCGCGCCACTGCACTCCAGCCTGGGCAACAGAAAGAGACTCCATCTCAAAAAAATAAAAATAAATAAATACATACATACATACATAAATAAATAAGAAAAAAGATGTATTTGGATGGTTAATGTATTTTTAATGTATAATCATCTATTGTAGTTAAAAGATGATCAAATGTGCTGATTCACTCAGTGTCTATGTTTCAAATGCAGGACTTAAGGAACAATTTGCCATAAGCCACCAACTTATTGTTTTCTTTTAAATTATATATCTAACATGCATACATACACACACAATATATATATACAAAACATTAATAATGATGAAAATTTTGAGAATCATGAAGAATGGTATATATGTAATACATGTTTTTTTCACAAGTTTTCCAACTACTCTACTTTTTTTTTTAGTAGAATACATTAGATACTACAAAAGAAATGAAAACAAAATGATGTGGAATAGCATGTAAACAACAGAAAGAAGTTTTTGAAGATTGTTACAACACAGCTTCCCTAGCTAATAATACCTGAGAAAACCTGCACATGTAGCATATATGTGTCGCTACCTTTTAACATATATAATGGATTTATTAATATTTCTTCATTGCGTTGATGAGATGAATAAATAAAATAGTATGTATAAATACCTAGACCTTTGCTGGGTGTATAGTAAATATTGTGTTAAAATAGAACTCTTCTATCTTTCTACAGAAATACACTATGCAGTGATTACTTCTGGCTGTGATACATAAAAACAGGCAAATCTCAATAGAGAAAAAATATGTATTCATGATACATGATTTGGATTTTTCCAAAGAACAAAAACTATGAATTGGGTTGCAAGGATTTCCTGTTAAGACAACAGTAGGAATAAAGACATGGAGTAGAAGATACACACATTGAGAAGGTTTAACAGGCCTAAGCAAAAGATGCACATAATGAAACATCAGGAGAACAGACTAGAAATTCCTCTAAGCCTGTTGTGAGAGCCAAAGAAAATACATCTGGATTTGACTGTTGATAATGAGGAATTTCTGAAAGGTTGACCTATCACAGCTCTGAAAAAATGCTTCTAAACAAACCAGATTCCTTTGTCAAATAGATAAGGGAAATTACGGATATGTAATGCCACTTTAGAAATTTCAAATGCACATTAACAAAGCAACAGCGAAAAGCAAACCCCATTTAACTTTGTTTAACCTAGATTTTATGAACTTATTTACTAAGCAAACTCTCCCATCTGTATTTCCCTACTTGTAATTCTTATTAAGAATCACTGTTTTGGTGTCATTGGAATTTACTTAGAGAAATGCGGTCTAACCTCTGCTTTAAGAAGACAACTCTGGCAGAACTATCAATTGGAAAAAAGGAGAGTTTAGATGCTAGGAGGCCATTATAATAGCTCACTTGGGAGCTAATCTGTGCATGACTCTGATGGGAGAAAATAAAATTGAGAAAAAGGCATGCATTGGAGGCAACAATCCTTGGAATGTGATTGACCGTAGAGAATAATGAATGTGGAAGACCCAGAACAGACTTTAAACAAACTTTCAGATTCTTGCCAATCTGAAAAATATTACTTCAGACTAATTTTGATTTGTATTTTATAATGAATGAGGGTATTCATTTTTTTTTCATTTATTTAAGAGCTATTTGTATTTCCTTGTCTGCAAAATTCTGTTTGCATCTTTTCCTCAGTTGTCTACTGGGTTTTCTTCTTGTTCATTTCTAGGAGTTCTTTTCTAAATAAAGTAAATTAGCCTTTTGCCTCTGAATAAGTTTCAAATATTGGATCCCCAATTTGTCATATCCTGACTCTGTTTATCATATTTCTATGAGAAACTTATTATTTTCTTTTTTTTAATGGCTTCTGGATTTTAAGTAGGAGTTATTAGATCCTGCCCATCCC
This sequence comes from Homo sapiens, assembly GCF_000001405.40. NCBI lineage: Eukaryota > Metazoa > Chordata > Mammalia > Primates > Hominidae > Homo > Homo sapiens. The sequence goes on along the minus strand of NC_000015.10, from coordinate 22,748,554 downwards.
AGCTTTATTAAGGAATTCTCCTCCATTCTATTTTACACTTTATATTTCATTTACAAATTTCAAGTTTGGTCCACTCAGAACTTACTCTGGTATAAAGATAACTTTTATTTTCTAAATGGCTGGGCAGTTGTCCACAACCTCTTCTGGTTGGTTGAAGATCTTTTACACTAAATTCACATATGTATTTGAATCTATTTCTATTTTCTATTCTGTCTTTGTCTAATCATGTACCAGTACCACTGTGTTTTAATTAAAGATGGTATTATATACCTTAATATCTGGTAGAACTAGTATCCCTTCACTACTCTTTTTATTGTTTTCCTGGCTGACCTTGTTCCTTTTTCTACTTGAACTTTAGGATCAACTTGTCTAATTCCAAATGAAAAGCTGATTTTTTTTAATCAAAAGCATGTTGAATGCATATGTTTCTTTCTTTTTTTTTTTTTTTTTTTTTGAGACGGAGTCTCACTCTGTCGCCCAGGCTGGAGTACAGTGGCACGATCTCGGCTCACTGCAAGCTCTGCCTCCCGGGTTCACACCATTCTCCTGTCTCAGCCTCCCGAGTAGCTGGAACTACAGGCGCCCACCACCACGCCCGGCTAATTTTTTTTATTTTTAGTAGAGACGGGGTTTCACCGTGTTAGCCAGGATGGTCTTGATCTCCTGACCTCGTGATCCACCTGCCTCGGCCTCCCAAAGTGCTGGGATTACAGGCGTGAGCCACCGCGCCCGGCCGTATATGTTTATTTCTTTATTTATGTTTGTTATTAGAGATAGGGTCTCACTGCTGCCCAGACTGGAGTACCGTGGCTATTTATAGGTACAATCATAGCGCACTACAACCTAGAGTTCCAGGGCTCAAACCATCCTCCCACTTCAATCTCCCAAGTAGCTGGGACTCGCAGTGCATGCCGTCACGCCCAGTTGATACATAAGTTAACTGAGAGTTGACATCTTGATGAAGTTGAGTCATCCTACCCAAGAACATGCTTTTTAACTTGCTCAAGCCTTCTTTTGTGTCCTTGAAATAGTGTTTTCTTCACATAGGTCTCATATATGACAAACTTATATTTTATATTTTATCCTTTTTGTTGCTACCGTAAGTGGGTCTCTTCATCTTATCCTCTATAGGTTTATTTACATGAAAGCCACTGATTTCTACAAATTATTTTTATGATCAACAACTTCAGTAATAATTATTTTATTATTTGCAGAGTTTTGGGGTTCTCTTGGGTTTTCAAGTAGTTGTACAATCATAATGTCTGTAAATAGTGCTAGTTTTACTTCTTCCTTTCCTATTTTTTAATTTCTCTCTCATGTGATTGTCTTGGCTGGTACTGCAGTATAGTATTTAAAAATAGTGCTGACAGTGACATTTGTTGTCTGTTCTTGACTTCAGAGGGGACTGTTTATAGTGCTTCTCCATTAATCACTATACTGAGTTTTGGGCAGAAATATATACACACACATACACATATATTTTTTCATGTTACGGAAGCATCTATCTTCTATCTATTCTTATTTTACTGAGTATCAGAACACTCATTTTCTTAAATGCTTCTGCCTCATCTATTAAGACAAGCCTGTGATCTTTCCTTTGACGTGAAAACACTGAATACTGAATACTGGAATAAATGCCCCCCTCCCCTTGGTCAATAATTATTTTTTAACGTCCTGGTGACTATTACTGGCAAATACTTTATTTAGGACTTTTGCATCCATATTCATAACTGAAACTGGTCTGTAGACTGTTTTGTATTAATCTTTGTTAGGTTTTTTTTATCTTTAAGAATAATATGGAGAATACTCATCTTTTTTTAGGCTGGGGGGGTGGCTCACACCTGTAATTCCAATCACCTGAGGTCAGGAGTTCGAGACCAGCCTGGCCAACATGGCAAAACCCTGTCTCTACTAAAAATACAAAAATTAGCCAGGCGTGGTGGCGCACACCTGTAATGCCAGCTACTTGGGAAGCTGAGGCAGAAGAATTGCTTGAACCCGGGAGGCGGAGGTTGCAGTGAGCCAAGATTGCACCATTGCACTCCAGCCTGGGCGACAGAGCAAAACTCTATCTAAAAAAAATCACCTTTTTTAAAACATTTAGAACCATTTTTAAAACATTCTAATTATTTGCTTTTTATAGGTTTAGTAGAAATATTCTAAAAACAACTAACCTGCTCTTTCTTAGAGGTAGAAGAAAATAACTTCTCTCATGAACATGAGCAGAGAGGTGAATGAACATGAACATGAACAGAGAGATGAATAAAGATCTAGTTGGCTGAAAGGGTCATCGGTATAAGACTCTTTCAGCTCTTTATATTTATTACTAATGAATATATGGCTTTTTATGTACCCGAAGGACAGTTTGGATATAAAATCTTTAGCATGTATTTACTATATGATATAAAATCTTTAGCTCATATTTACTATCCTTGAGATTACAGCAATCACTCCACTCTCTTCTGGCATACAGAGCTGCCAGCCTAATTTTTTTCACCTTTTTATATACTGGTTTGATTGTTTTGCCTGAGTGCCTAAAGGATTCTGCCATTACCTTTTAAGGCCAATAATTTATATGCCTTGATGCTGACAGTTCTTGATCAATTTCCCCTACCATGTGATATCCTCTTTCAACAACCTTCACTTGTTTTAAGAAAATGTTCTTGAGTATCATGAAATAAGTGCTCTGTTTACAGAACGTTAAATAACTGTTCTGTCTGGTTTTTCTTCTTTGAGAGAAATTCAGTTTTGCCTATATTAGATCTTCTGTGCCCATCTTCTCTCTAATCCTTTCTCATTCTTTCTTGACTTTGGTTTCATTTTAATTTCCTCATTTCTACTCTGTGTTCCTGTGTGTTCTTCAGTGTTTACTCGCCCTTTGTGCTCTTTCCCATGTCGTGGTTTGATTCTTCCCTTCTACTTCTTTCCTGAATTCTGACACCTCACATCTTACCACTTCCTGTTTTCTTACCATATTCCTGCAGTTCTGGAATTTCTGCTCCAAGTGTTCCTTAGAGGAGCAGTCCCCAAACCTTTATGGCATCAGGGACCGGTCTCATGCAAGACAATTTTTCCACAGGGGAGCGGAAGATGATTTCAGGATGAAACTGTTCCACCTCAGATCATCAGGCATTAGTCAGAGTCTCATAAGCAACGCACAACCTAGATCCCTTACACGGGCAGTTCACAATAGGGTTTGCGCTCCTATGAGAATCTAATGCTGAGGCTGACCTGACAGGAGGTGGGGCTCAGGCAGTAATACTCGCCCAGCCGCCGGCCTGTCTGCCACCCACCTCCTGCTGTGCAGCCCAGTTCCTAACAGGCCACGAACCAGTACCAGTCCATGGCCCCAGGACTGGGGACCCCGGCCTTAGAATGACTGCCTTCTTACATTTGTTGTTGTTGTTCTTTTTGTTTAGTTCATGGTCAGACGTTTGCTCATAATTTTCACCTATTCTGTGACAATATTATTTTGGTAAATGTTCTTCATCTATGAAGTTTTATTAAATTTTGTTAATGTTTTTCACCTTTTATCAGCGCTGTGCTACTCCGTATTGATTACTCAGCAGGAAAGGAGTCGTATGTTAACTGGCCCTGCTTTCTCAGCAGCCTCCTCTGAAAGTGATTTTGCTGGTATTCTCTGAGCTATTCACGCTGTCTCCTCCATGTTCTATAGCTCTAGTTTTATGTAAGAAACCTATTTGCCACTTCAAAATAAATTGCTTGTATTTACTGGCACTTCCTGAGATCTGCCACCTGAACTGTTTTATCATTTCTGTGACCACACCAAAAGTCTCCACATGATTTTTTAAAAGAAAATTCTTTAAGTACAATTTGATACACAAAACAGACTTACTTTAAGAGTTCATCTCTTTCTGTCTTCCATGCCAAAACTATATCGCTGCATTTGTTCTGGAACCTGACCAGGATTTCAGTCAACTCATTGTAAAACTATAAGCAAAGAACAAATACAAGTAATGAACAAGAACAATTTTTTAATCCAGAGAGTAATGTGATCTAAAGCTAATTTGTCAATGACAGTTAAAGCCGAAGAACTGAGATCTGCATGAGATACATCCGTACAATTTACTAGGCCCAACAACTTAATATTAAATATGATCTAAGATTCCTAAAGAAAATAAAAATAATAAAATCATTTTTACAGAACATTATCATCAAAAATGTAACAAGTTAAAAGTTTCATGATCATGAAAATCTTCCTAATTCCTAGAGAAAAGTCAATTGCTTAATAACATGAAACCTATTTAAGTGGAAGGATTAGGTTTTCAAATTCACTACAGAAATGCAAGCATACTCCCCATCAAAAAGTGGGCAAAGGATATGAACAGACACTTCTCAAAAGAAGACATTTATGCAGCCAAAAAACACATGAAAAAATGCTCATCGTCACTGGCCATCAGAGAAATGCAAATCAAAACCACAATGAGATACCATCTCACACCAGTTAGAATGGCGATCATTAAAAAGTCAGGAAACAACAGGTGCTGGAGAGGATGTGGAGAAATAGGAACACTTTTACACTGTTGGTGGGACTGTAAACTAGTTCAACCATTGTGGAAGTCGGTGTGGTGATTCCTCAGGGATCTAGAACTAGAAATACCATTTGACCCAGCCATCCCATTACTGGGTATATACCCAAAGGATTATAGATCATGCTGCTATAAAGACACATGCACTCATATGTTTACTGCGGCACTATTCACAATAGCAAAGACTTGGAACCAACCCAAATGTCCAACAACGATAGACTGGATAAAGAAAATGTGGCACATATACACCATGGAATACTATGCAGCCATAAAAAAGGATGAGTTCATGTCCTTTGTAGGGACATGGATGAAGCTGGAAACCATCATTCTCAGCAAACTATCGCAAGGACAAAAAACCAAACACCGCACGTTCTCACTCATAGGTGGGAACTGAACAATGAGAACACATGGACACAGGAAGGGGAACATCACACACCGGGGACTGTTGTGGGATGGGGGGAGAGGGGAGGGATAGCATTAGGAGATATACCTAATGCTAAATGATGAGTTAATGGGTGCAGCACACCAACATGGCACATGTATACATATGTAACAAAACTGCACGTTGTGCACATGTACCCTAAAAGTATATAAAAAAAAAAAGAAATGCAAGCACACTTCAGAAACCCTTAAAAGAATTTCTAAAGGCTCTCTGGAGGGTTTTCTCAGCTTACCTATTTAAAGAAAGCATTTTAAACCAAGTTAAAATGGCATTTTACTATCCTCTCTATTTGGAAGGCTTTGCAGTATTTTCACCCTCTCTTCAGAGGGTTTTACATTTTACCTACTGTATTTATATCAAGGTAACTTTATTCAGTGATTATTATGGAGTTAAGTACCAAAAGGAATTATGCATCTGAAAAACCTTAAAAATCACTGTTCCCTCAAAAACAAATTGGTAAAAAGAAATATAAGTGAATTACCTAAACTTTTTAAAGGACAAGGCAAGAAAGTACTTACATATTCAGTAAGCCTTCTGACACTTGGGCAGGCCACAAGTCTGTCCTCAGCAAACCACCACACAGAATATAAAAGTCATGTCCCCCAGCTTTTCCATCACAAATCAGCTTTGACTACTCCTGTCCCCTCAAAATTCATCAAATTAATCAACTTCCTATCCCTTAAAAAGGTGTCATTGACATCTCTGCTAATTCCTGCTACCTGGAATATTTGTACCCCTTTTCTGCCAGTTGAAATATGCAATTCATTCTTCAAAGTTCCCATGAAATGTTGCCACCTTCATTAAGCTTTCTCCCTCCTATAACAAACTTCGCAGAGGCAATGGCATTAAAGCTAACATTCCAGGCAAAGAGTAATTTGGTTCAACTGGAAATACCATTTAACTTCCAACCTATACGTTCACATCTGTACTTGCTAGCTATGGTTCCTTTTGCATGTACTTCATACCTTTGTGTCTTCCTTCGAATTAGCTACAAGTTCAACAAAGTTGTCATATGCAGTAGCTAAATTCTTCAAAACTTCTTTTCTTAAGTTAGCTTCATTATTAGATTGCTTCATTTTCGAAAATTCCTGATGTGAGACCTTGTTAAAAGAAAGATTTATGTATTTACATTTACTTATAAAATTAATATGGCTTATAACATTTTTATTGATCTTTTCCAATTATGAAAATTATATGTAATTAAATACATATGCAAAATTACTAGAAATACCTAGTATACTCTTTTGAAGCCTCATTATGCTTTAAATCTTTCTTAAGTAAAAATTTCAAAAATCCAATAGGAGTCAAAACAACCAATAATGATCACAGATTTCTATTAGTATATAACACTTGCAAAAAATATAACATGAAAATTATTTTACCTTTTGGAATATTTTATATCATATATAGATACAATGTTTAGGAGTAGAAATATATGTTTAATTTTGCACATTAACTATGAAAAGGGCAAACTTTCAAGTCTTTGTTAGTCCAAACTACCTATCTGTAAACACGAAAACTAACTTCAAACTTCTCAACATATTTAGTTTGCATTATTTTTTTAAAAAATGACTGAAGTCTGTATGTATGTTAGCCGTATAATTAAAGGTATCAGTAATTCCAACTAATTTCGATTTTCCTCCCGTATGGAAAAAAAAACAAAGCTATTAAAAACTTGAAACCATGAAAAATATCAGAAGTATCAAGCACTCCTAAGTAATATGCAACATTTTAGCCATAGAAATGACTTTGTTTCTGCCGGGCGTGGTGGCTCACGTCTGTAATCCCAGCACTTTGGGAGGCCAAGGAGGGAGGATCAGGAGGTCAGGAGATGGAGACCATCCTGGCTAACACGGTGAAATCCCGTCTCTACTAAAAATACAAAAAATTAGCAGGGTGTGGTGGCGGGCGCCTGTAGTCCCAGCTACTCGGGAGGCTGAGGCGGGAGAATGGTGTGAACCCGGGAGGTGGAGCTTGCAGTGAGCCAAGATCGCACCACTGCACTCCAGCCTGGGCGACAGAACGAGACTCCATCTCAAAAAAAAAAAAAAAAAAAAAAAGGAGTGACTTGGTTTCATAGATACAAATAAAACTGATGTGCCAAGTTTAATTTTACAAAACATACATGTATTAAGTTCTACTCTCAACTATAGATATTCTCCATGTCATTTTTCTAATTGAATATAGGTTTAGTCCAGACATATCTTTTCTGTAATTTTTAAAACATAGATGTTATTAAATACATAAATTTCACCTGAATATTTTTAAGAAGTCCCTCCTGTGTCTTTAGAGATTCTTGGACTTTAGTTGTAAGACCTCCATAGACTCGATCTAGTTCAGTAACAGAAAGAGCTTCTTCATTTATCACACCATCTTGAGCCAGGGCTGTCAAAAACTTGCTTGTCATGTCAAAATTCACAGATTTCAAGTCATTCTCCAGACCCTCTCTTTCCTTCTTTACTTCATCAAGATTTGACAATAAGGATTTTAAGACATTTACAACCTAAACAATAAAAAAGACACTTTAACTGAAAAAAAAAAGCCAATTTCAAGAAGGAAATAATATATAAAGGTTCATTCAGGCTGAGAGAGAGATGATTTCTCAGAGAGCCAAATATAAATTGAACATCAGGTTTATATAGATAGACACTGTACGTTCAGTTGACTCATACTAAAACAAAAGCAGCATTAATAACAATAGCCAACAGCTACAATTTACTGAACTCCTATGTGTTAGGCACCATGCTAAACACTTCAGAAATATAATTTTATGTATTCCTTACAATACCCCATGGGGTATATATATTTATGACCTCTATTCCAAAGATAGGGATAACGAGTCTCAGAAAAATTAAGTGACATGGTTATACAGCTACTAAGGGGCAGAGGTGAAATTTGAGACCTAAGTCTGACTAGTTCCAAAACCAATCTCTTAGCCACTCTACACTCTACTCCCTCCCAATCATGGCTGTGAAGCAGGGGAAGGTATGAGTTTGTTAGATAAGTAGATATCCTATTTTGCCTAGAGAGACTGAGAGATAGAGATATAGAGAAATAGAGGTGAAGATAGAAATAGAGATAGTTATGAAGCAAGCACGGTAGATGGAGAAAGAAATAGAGAAAGACACAGATATAAAGGTATATACCGCATTTATTTTATACACCAGGAGAGGAAAGGGAAAGAGGGTTCTTGTGCCTCTCTTCATAGCATTAAGAGTTTTAGGCCAGATGTAGAGGTTCATACCTGCAATCCCAGCACTTTAGGAGGATCACCTGAGCCTAGGAGTTCGAGACCAGCCCAGGCAACAAAGTGAGACCCCCATTTCTACATTAAAAAAAAATTAGTTGGGTGCAATGGTGTGCACCTGCAGTCACAGCTACTTCAGAGGCTGAGGCAGGAGGATTGCTTCAGCCCAGGGGGTCAAGGCTGCAGTGAGCGATGATCACGCCACTGCACTCCAGCCTGGGTGACAGAGAGAAACCCTGTGTCAAAACAAAACACAAAAACAAAACAGAGATTTATCTCTTGTATTCAGTCAAGACACTCTCTGACTTATACCCACCTGATTCATAAATACCCCTTTATATTCATAGTGTTCAAGTGCCTTCTAATGAGCACTTTCAAGCTGCCCTTTCACTCATCTCTTCATACTTTGCTAGGACCACCAAGAACATCAACCCAATCTCCCTATTCTGCTTGCCCCAATGATGCTCATAGAAAGAAAACCGGGGGAAAGACAAAGGAAGAAGAGGACATCATGAGCCCTGTCTCCACCCCTGTCTTTCTCATTACCAGCAGCAAGTCCAATTCCCATGATCCCCCTACCAACTGCCTGTTTCTAAAAATTCCTACCCTACTCTTTCTTCCACAGTCTTAGTTAACTCCTTGATAGGAACATCCAAAGTAACATCCCTTTGTGAAGACCAGAGACTCGAGGTTTCTGCTAAATGTAGGCGAATTTCCTTTTTGGCCTCGTTTACATCCGTATCTTCTAAACATCCTAATTTTAAAATGGAAGGAAAGGAAAGGAAGAGAAGGGGGAGGGGGAGAAGAGAGGAAGGAAGGGGGAAGGGAAGGAGAAAGGGAGGGAGAGAAAGAAGAGGGTACAGGGGAGAAGGCTGTGGAAAGAGAAAGAAATATGATTCCTAGAGTCTAGAAAGCATCAAACCACAGAAACTCTAAAAGGAAGGAGGAGGAGAAAGAATCATACGTGGGTGGATATGACAAAGTCTGTTTAAAGACCTAGTAGAACTTGATATCAGACGATGTGAATAAAAGTTTCCTTCCAAGTGACTTCCAGGACATATTATTAAATGAGAAAAAAAGGGTACACAAGCATATATAGTGTGCTGCAATTTGAGTAAGACAGAAGGAAAATCAGAAAATAAATATACACATACATAATATGTACATATGTATACATATGTATGCATAATTTTGGGGGAGGTTGGGTTTTTTGTTTGTTGTTGTTCTTGCAAAAAGAAAATCAGTAAGGACAAACCAGAAACTAACGGATATGGTTACTTACAGGAAGTATACAGGAAAGAAGTAGAAGGAAAAGGAATGAGGCTTACTCTGCATGTACCTTTTGAATCATGAACATTTTTTACACACTCAGAAAACAAGATTAAGTCAAAACTTGAATATGGAAACAAATGAACTAATGGTCTATCAAAGTGAAACGTAATTACACAGAAAAAACGTAATTACATAGAAAATTAAAAACACTTCAACTCGGACTATACTCCCTTAGAGACCATAATGGGCTTAGTGACTGTGCAATCAAGGACAGGTTACTACGTAGAAAACTCAATTTTCGCAGCTGCAAAATGGGCATAGTAGTACCTATTTCAGGACTGTTGTGAAGACTGAGATAATCTATATAAAGTGCTCAACATAACTTCTAACAAAGGGTAAGTATTCAATCATATTACCTAGATTAGGAAGAAAAGCTAACCGCAACTTCCATGGTATCCAACCAGACTGATACAGAAGCTTTCTAACCAGACTGATACAGAGGGCCAAATAGTTAACAAATCCTGTGATATTCAAAAATGCAATAATTCTAACTTTCTGGGGAAAAAATGCCATTTCAAACAACGAATTTATGAACAAACTTGTGGACTACCACACAAAGATAGAGATCCCTTATATTACGAACATCTTTTTAAAAAAATTCATATGCAGTGCACTAGTTTAACATATTTCAGATTATATGACACTCGCCTCATTTTAACAGAGTAAATGAAGTAGAAAATGAATTAAACTGCTTCCACAAATGAATGACCATGATAATAAGAAAACCACTGCCTAAATTTTCTTATAAATTCAAATTTGAGGTTTAACATGTTATCAAAGTATATAAATAATTAGAATCCTAGCGTATTTATTTCTTATACACAGCTCCAGCTATCTTTCAACTGCAATTAAATGTGTCCCTTTATTAAGTTAAAGCTGCCAGCGATGATCATTCAAACAAATGCTTTTTGTTTTGGGACCATTCTAGATGCTATGGACACAACTACTAACAAAAACAGTCTTTTCCTTCATTCGCAGACCAGAGAGGATTAAATAAATATGGAAAGGGGAGGATTAAACAAATACACAAAAATAGAATAATGTGGGTAGACAATGACAAAGATGGAGAAGAGGTGACATCTGAGACTAATGAAAAAGAGGTAATAGCCATGGAAATGGGAAGAAAGCCCTGCACAGAAGGAAACGCAAATGTAACAGTCCTGTGGCAGGCACAAGCTTGGCAGGATCAAAGGAAAGAAAAAAAGGCCACTCTGGCTGAAGCATAGTAAACAAAAGGCAGAACAGGAGATGAGGTCAAACAGAATGGCAGGAATGGCATCACCTAGGCTGTCAATACTTTGTCTTTCAGATCAGGAACTTACAAACTTTTTTGGTAAAGGACCAAACAGAAAATATTTTTGCCTCAGTAGGCCACAGTCTCTGTTGCAACTCTTTAACTCTGCTTTGCAGTGTGAAAGACAATGTGTAAATGAATGAGCGCAGCTATGTTTCAACAAAAATGTATTAACACTGAAATCTGAATTTTATATAATGCCCACATATTAAAACATTTGTTTGACTTTTTTTTAGCCATTTAAAAAATGAAGTAGAAAGTAGAGTTTTATATTTAAAAAATGTAAAACTCATTCCTGGCTCCCAGGCCATACAAAGAGAAGAGGCAGAGGATTCGGCCCACAAGCCACAGGTTCCTGACCTGAGTTTTAGATTTAAAACCCTCTGTGGCATTTAACAGCACCAAGTACAATATGAGACATAAGAAATGCCCTCAATGGGCCGGGCGCGGTGGCTCATGCCTGTAATCCCAGCACTTTGGGAGGCCAAGGCAGGCGGATCACGAGGTCAAGAGATCGAGACCATCCTGGCCAACATGGTGAAACCCTGTCTCTACTAAACATACAAAAATTAGCTGGGCATGGTAGCGCATGCCTACAGTCCCAGCTACTCGGGAGGCTGAGGCAGGAGAATTGCTTGAACCCAGGAGGCAGAGATTGCAGTGAGCCAAGACTGCGCCACTGCACTCCAGCCTGGGTGACAGAGCGAGACTCCGTCTCAAAAAAAAGAAAGAAAGAAAGAAATGCCCTCAACGAAATCTTCTATTTTACTTTTATAACCTTGTCATTTTATTTTCAGAAAAGGCAAATAAGCAACAATGTCTACAGCAAGGAATGCAGAAACTTGATACATTTACCCTACACTAAAGGTAACCTAGGGGAGTTTTTTGTCTCTTTATGTTAGGAACCAAGGTACTCAGCACAGTTCTGGAATAGTAGGCCTTCAAAAAACACTTGGTGAGTAAATAAACAAACAGATTCCAGCCATTCTCAACATGTCTATAAACTTTCTGTCACGAGAAATCAGGAGTAAAAGCTGTGTTTGCAGATCCTCCACTAGTCTGTGAATCCAAAAAAGGCACTCCTCTGGGAGGGCACACAGTTTTAAACAGTTCTCTTTATGCTCTACCTCTAAGGAGATAAAGGGTTTTTTTTTTCAAAGGTACCCCCTCCACTACTCCCAGCAGATGTAACACTTTGAGTATAATTGAACATCATCCTTGTGCAAAAAAATAGATGTTCCTTCCTCTGGCTAGACTCAGCCCCATATACATTAGGGCCAAGGCTTGGCCAGCCAACCACAGACCAGACTTCAGGCCACAGTAGATCACAGGCAACCAATCACAAGCAGTGATCCTAGGTATTTAATACAAAAATCTTGAAATACAAATGACCACTAGTCTGCAAAATTTTTCAGAGTATCTCAATATCTAAAACCAGATGCCCAAAGAGACTGAAAATAAGTAACTAGAAAGTAGGCTACTTCACAATAAAAGAAAAAACAGCCCTACCATCAAACTTGGACTTTTTAATAAAACATGTACATTGCATCACTCTAATCAGCAATCAAAAAACTGAGTTTTAACATAAAAATTCTGGCTAAAATGCGTCATCAACTATTACGACAACCATCTGAAATAGCTCTGATAAACCTGATGCTTGCCTTATTTGAATAAGGCACAAGACAAACGAATATATAGAGAGTACTGAAATTTTTGTGGTTACCCCATCAAGAAATCTAGCTTCCAAAAAATTACTTCATATTGACTATAAAAGTTCCTTTCTCCTGTGTAACACAAGTAAGGACTAATAAAACTGATACAACTGAATAAAATATCAACAAATCAGTGCATACCAATGCAGATTTTGCTTAGCACAAACCATTTTTACTTTTCTACTGAAAGCAGAAGAATCAAAGGACAAAAGCCACATAATTCTGAGTCATGTACAAGACACCAAAAAGAATACAAAGAGAGTACTAAACAGAGATCTTTTTCTAAAATAAAAAAGGTACCAGAATGTATTGCTCTTCCAAGGGTCTACAGTTTCTTCTTCGGGTTCTTTGTTGCTCGCAGGTTAATCTTCTGACCACCTCCCTTTTCTCCGCTATGTCCTCAAAGCAACAACTCACATTCCCTGTTCCACTGGGTTCCCCCGTTAGATTCAGGTTCAATGCACATTCAACTACGTAGCCTTCTCTTCCCTTTGAGAGGTGCCCGGTACCTGTGCATTTACCCTACACTAAAGGTAACCCAGAGCAGTTTTTTGTCTCTTTATGTTAGGGACCAAGGTGCTCAGCACTGCTCTGGAATAGCAGGCCTTCAAACACTTGGTGAATAAATAAATAAACAGATTCCAGCCATTCTCAACATGTCTATAAACCTTCTGTCACGAGAAATCAGGAGTAAAAGCTGTGTTTGCAGATCCTCTGAACCTCGGATAACTCTCTAGACACAGCCACTACTCAGCCCTTCTCCGATCCTACACGTTTACTTTTTCTGCCTATCCACTCTGTTCTCATAATGTGCCAATCTCTTAAGAAGCCTCTGAAGAGAACTACTCCAAATTACTGAAATTTTAAGTACTTCATCTAAATCCTCATAACATACTTCCTATACTTTCCCTGTGACATTTTTAAACTTCTTCCCTATATCACAGTCATCCCTGTACATGACTAATATTCCACAAAGGATCATAAATTGAGGGTAAAGCCTGTGTATAATTTGTATGTTAATTTTCCAATGTACCTACCATAGTGCCTTACACAGAGCAGATATCCAGTAGGTCTTGGAATACATATATGAAATATATAAAATGCTTCTGCGGAATGACAAATAAGAAACAAAACTCATACTTTTCAGAACTTACTATCCCAGGAAATTCACTTTTTTCAAGAAGTTTTCAGCAGTATTTCTTGCCCTTTGGCTTGTTTTCCTGTGCAGAGATTTGGGACCTCTATCTTTTCCTACTAACTTACCCTACCTCCCCGTGATAGGCCATTAAATTATACTTGCACTTTCTCTTAGGACTTTCCAAATCAGATGCCCTACTATTCAATTCTCTCTTTCCTGTCATCAGTAGAAACACCATGACGGAGCTATCCATTTATTAACACGCACACCTTGCCAATCTTCCCTTCAAAGGTAGTCCCGGGGAAACAAGGTGGAAGGGAGTAGAGAACAATGGAAGAAATAAAGAATTTGTGTATCTGGCCATACCCAGTCCTTTCATTTCAGGAAATTTCTATACTTCCAAGCTTCTCTCTTTTATAAAACCCAAATTAAATACTGTTGACCTATGAAGTATCTAAAATTTAGTTCAAAAAGGGGCATTCAATAAATGGAAGTGACTATTACAGGATAGTTAGTATTAGTATAATTTCCTATTACACAGTCCATATACTACTTGAAATATAACAACCCCAATTTATTTCTGCATTTTTTTAAAGATGACAATAAGGAATTGGCAGTGCATTATATAAAATGGCTTGAATGTGGTTTTCTTAAGCAGATGACAACCCACATCAAAGTGCCCTTCTCACCTCACTGCCCTGCATGGTCTTTGCTGGATTAGCAGAAGGGATGGCAGCATTCAGCTCAGGCTCTGGCTTACACAAAAGCACGATGGGGTCATGATGAGACGGGTAACATTCTTTCACGTGTCCATCTGCTTGCACAGCTTTATCTAAAACTGTTCTGAAGCTGGTTCCCTCTGGGAGAAAATAGGTTTGCAGAGCACAGAAGTGATTCTAACAGCAACGTATATGGCCTGGTTATATGTTGAGTTCTAGTCTCCAACTTTACTTATCTTCCCCTTCTCTAGACCCCAATTCACTTAATCATAAAAACACCTCCTAACAGTCTTTGCGTTCTCGTTTTTGGAAAGATGACAAAATCACTTATAAAATCAAAAGCATAGCTATACCTTAAAATACATTTGGAGGTTACTATCTGCCAAATAAAACCTAATTAATATTAATCTTTTCCTACAACTCATGAATGTAGGAAGAAATCATTCTCTCCAAAAATTGGTCCATTTATTTTAAAAGTATTCCTCTCTCAAAAGAGCAATGTGACTTAAAAAAAAAAGATTTTTAGAAAAATCTCAATAATATACAAACTTTTTACAAAGACAAATAAAACTAATCTCCAGCCACCACGAAGACAGCATTTATCTCAGCAAGCACAAAATCTTCATAATCAAAGTCTTAAGAAGCATAAATTTGGCCTCAAAATAACTTAAAGCTCATTTTTTTTTACCACCCAGGATTCACTACTAAATGAAAAAAAAATTACAAAGCCATAAATGTAATATGCTCTCATTTATGTTTTTAAAATATGCGCAGGGGCCAGGCATGGTGATTCAAGCCTGTAATCTCATCACTTTGGGAAGTGGAGGCAGGTGGATCACTTGAGCCCAGGAGTTCAAGACAAGCCAGGGCAACACGGTAAAACCTCGTCTCTGCAAAAAATACAAAAATTAGCCAGGCGTGGTAGCACATGTCTACGGTGTCAGCTACTCAGGAGGCTGAAGTAGAAGGATTGCCTGAGCCCTGGAGGTTGGGGCTGCAGCGAGCTGTGATCCTGCCACTGCACTCCAGCCTAAGTGACAGAGCGAGACCTTGTCTCAAAAAATAAAATAAAATAAAATAAAATATGCACAGAGCTTGGAACAGAAAATGAAAGTTGGAGGACCATTTTAACTTTTCCCTTTATACCGTTCTTAAGAATCTGTACTTCTGACAATTGGCAGATCACTTTTGTGAACTTTTTTAATCTTTATACTAAAACTGAGGAAAAACAGTTTCGGTAAAAACAAATTTACAACTGAGCCTAATTTAATCAAGTAAAAATGTGGGTCCAAATTGGGAATTTATTCAAATGAAGGTCATTTATACACATTTTTACCTGCTCTTAAAGGCTTATACGGTTCATTGGATGATGTCCTTTGCCAGCGTTCCTTAAATTTTGCTCATAAATCATTATCGGTTGCTTCTTCTTCATCCAACAACCTTAATGACTTTAAAAGGAAGCAAAAAGAACCCTGAAATGTCATTTCTGGATTAAAAAATTTAATGCATTTAATAAATTGTTCATACACAATATAAGGGAGAATTTGGTGAGATGGGAATACTAGGTTAGAATATAAATCGACTTTTTTCTTGCAGACATCTAAGTTATAATGCATTTAACAAAAAGTCTTATAAATTTAAGGCTGAATTAGCTATCACCTTTCTCAGTAAAAAAAAAAAAGGAAGAATACATAAGAGACTATTTACATCCATATATCAATTTAAAGAAAGTTTTAAGATTAAAATAGATAAATAGAAGCCATAAACAAAGGGGAAAAACTGATCAATTACATTAAAAAATAAAAGATTTAGACTTTCATTCCAATACAACAAACAGAAAATTATGTTTAATATATTTTTAAATGCCTTTTAATGTGTAGATAAGATGACAGGATAGTAGGGGGCCAGAAACACAAGAAAATACTAATCTACCAGTAGACACAGTGCTAGCACCAACAATTTATGACAATCCCCGATAGCTTAGGACAAAGAATAGCAAACTTCTGTCAAACACCACAGAGTAAATATTTTAGGCTTTGTGGGCCACAGTCTATGGCACATAGAATTCTTCTTTTTTGACAATGCTCTAAAAAAGATAAAAATTATCCTTAACTAGTGAACCACACAAAAGTAGGCCACAAGCCTGCACTGGCCCACCATCCATAGTTCACCAGCTGTGTAGTTCACCATTGACTTGCATTGTGAATTTAGAACATGAAAAGTCAACAAGAAACATAGGTAGGGACAATAAAAGGTGAGAGGTCAGATCAAAAGCACTCTCCACACTCAAACTGGTATACTTCCAAATAGATGATTCTCAGTGGATGAATTTTTAAAACAGAAAACTGCCCTACAGAAGAAAACATGCCTGTCTGGACCTTGGCTCTAAAGAAAAAAGAAAAAAAAAAAGAAGTATTATCTGAGATTCCTGATCAAAAGCCTGAACTTGGGACTAGAAACCACACTATTTGTGTGACACAAAGTCCTAAGATAAATTACTACTATAATTAAAAGATTATAAAAGAAAAGAAAAAACCTCTTAAGTTTGAGGAGGTGCCAGGTATATAATGCCTTTTTATGGCAGAAGCAAACACAAATTCTTTCTAGAATTCACCTTAAACCCAGATCTCAATGAATTCCCACAAATAAATTACAGGAAATATGAATGCACAATCAAAACTCACTGAACACTAAATGCAATTCAGTATTCTGTACTGGATCTTGGAACAGAAGGAGGAACATTGGTGGAATAACTGGTAAAATCGGAGTAATAATACTGTACCAATGTCAATTTCCTAGTTTTAACAAATGTGCCATGACCACGTAAGATTTTAACTTTCAGGGAAGCTAGGTGAAAAATATACAGGAACTTTCTACACTAAATTTGCAAAGTCTCTGTAAATCTGAAACTATTTTTTAAAGTTTTAAAAAACAGTAACAAAAAAACTGAACACAAGAGAAAACAAGCCACCATAAGCAAGAATCAGCAAAAATCACAAATCATAGAATCAAACCCACAGAAACTACAGACATTGGAATTATAAGATAAATAATATAAAATAAATATATTTAATATATTTCAAGAAATTAGGGATAAATTAAAGGGTTTAACCTTCCAGGTTAAGACAAACTAAAAAGAAAAATCTTGCTACACGCTATGTATAAAATAAATCAATAATTACAAAGACTGAACAGTTTGTATGATAGTTGATTTCTCACAGTATACTAGTTTTACACAGTGGTCATTTGAGTTTCATTAATGTGTACTTACTTACCCTTAAGATAAAAATGAAACCCATTCTCACTCAACCAGAATTTCTCTTATGCTAAAGAGAAGGCTCTGGGCCACAGTAAATTCACCAAAGTGATGAATACTAACTACACTGTGAGCACTAGCATGAGGAAGTCTCCAGTCCCAATCCCTGCTGGACATCAAGGGATCACAGTGTTTATACTTGAAAAGCAAATCTTATAAAACATACCTCATCTAGGATTTCTCTATTTCATTGCAGCAATTCAGGCAGTTCTTTAATCAACTGATCAACAGTCTGGATGCCTCCCTGTTCAATCACAGATCTGGATTTAGTCAATATAGACTGAGGTACAGTGTCTCCAGACACATCTTCAATTGCTGCTGGAAGATTAAGGGAAGCTAGCACCCTGAAAAAATGAGATACTATGTTATATTGAAGTCTAAAACAATTTAACTCATCAATATTTATTTTATTTAATTTAATCTTCTATAACCAAATCAACAGCAATGGAGTTAGCACCCAGAAAAACTGGATAAGCCCTATCAATGAAAAACAAAGCAAAGATTAACAGAAAAACAAAAAAATCAGTGATTGATACAATTAAACCAAAATCATTAAAAAATTAAGTTCACAATTCAGAATTAAAAGCCAAAAAATAGGCTGGTGCAGTGGCTCACACCTGTAATCCCAGCACTTGGGAGGCCAAGGCGGGCGGATCACCTGAGGTCAGGAATTCGAGACCAGCCTGGCCAACATGGTGAAACCCCATCTCTACTAAAAATACAAAAATTAGTCAGGCGTAGTGGTGAGCACCTATAATCCCAGCTACTTGGGAGGCTGAGGCACAAGAATCACCTGAAGCCAGGAGACGAAGGTTGCAGTGAGCCGAGATCTCACCACTGCACTCCAGCCTGGGCGACAGAGTAAGACTCCGTCTGGAAAAAAAAAAAAAAAGCCGAAAAATTATGACCGCATTAAAATATATTAGGTATCGTTGGCTTACAGTTCAAACTTCTTTCAGTCTAAGTAATTAAAAGTCAAAAATTCTATCCTAAAAAAGCAGTCTTTTATACTTTTGATTGTTACAGCATCTGTAACGAGTCAGAAACAATACACAAAATAGTTATTTTTTTCTTTTTTGCTCTCTTTCAACAGAATCAATAATTATAATTTCACATCATCTAGGCAAAATGTCAACAGAAGATAGATGATCTAAGTCTTCATTACAGAATCTTCATCTGTTCTCGGTTTTGTAGCACACTAACAATTCCTCAGTTATTTCATTTACATGATGGGGAAGGGAGGTACATATCCCTACCTACTATGTAAAGAAAAAAGGCAAATGAAATGATGGAATACAATGAACTCCTCAGAAAAGAAGCTCTGTAAAATCTCAGACTGCCTGTTTATCATATGCTAGAGTAAACTTACATTCCTTTCTTGTTCAAGAAAAATGATGGTAAAATCCATGCATTAATCAAAACTAAACACATGAAAAGGCAAGCCAACTACGAGAGAAATACAGCTGGCCCCTGAACAACACAGATTTGAACTACGTGAGTCCATGTATATGTGGACTTCCACCTCTTTCACCTTTGCCACCTCTAAGACAGCAAGACCAACCCTCCTTCCTCCTCTTCCTCAGCCTACTCAAACATGAAATA
Source organism: Homo sapiens (assembly GCF_000001405.40). NCBI lineage: Eukaryota > Metazoa > Chordata > Mammalia > Primates > Hominidae > Homo > Homo sapiens. The sequence continues at coordinate 22,729,202 of NC_000015.10, read as the reverse complement.
GACAAGGACGAAGACCTTTATGATGATCCACTTCCATTTAATCATAGTAAATATATTTTCTCTTCCTTATGATTTTCTTAATAGCATTTTTTCTCTAGCTTATTTATTATAAGAATATACTATATAATACATATACAAAATATGTGTTAATTGACTGTTTATGTTATCGGTAAGGCTTCTGGTCAACAGCAGGCTATTAGTAGTTAAGTTTTGGGGACTCAGAAGTTATATGCAGATTTGACTGTGCAGGGGGGTCAGCACCCATTACCCCTATGTTGTTCAGGGTCAACTATATTCTCAATTGTATGTATCTGACAAAGGACTTGCCTCCAAAATATGTAAAGAACTCTTTAAATATTAAGAAAACTCAGTTTTAAAAACTGAGAAAAAGATTTCAATAGACACTTTACAGAAAAGATATGAATGGCTAGTAAGCACATGAAAAGCTGTTCAGTATCATTAGTAATTAGGAGAATGTAAATTAAATCACAGTGAGATTCTGCTACACACACACTAAAGCAGCTAAAACTAAAAAGACTGACGGCACCAAGTATTGGTGAGGATGCCAAACAACTGTATTTCTCAAACAGTGCAGATAGGATATAAAATGGAACAACCACTTTGGAAAACAACCTGGCAATTTCATGTAAAATTAAATATGCTAACCACACAACCTAACAATTCCACTCCTAAGTATTTACCCAAGAGAACTAAAATATGTCCACATGAAGATTTATACACAAATGTTCATAGAAACTGAAATGTCCATTAACAGGTGAAAGAGTTAACAAACTGCTCTATAACCATAAAATGGAATACTACTCCATAACCATAAAATGGAATACTGCTCAGCCATAGAAAAGACTCAAACTGATACACATAATATAGATGAATCTCAAAAACAGTAACTAAGTGAAAAAAAGCAAAACACATTCTAAGTATATATTGTACATACTGTAAGTACTGTATATGTATATGCTAGAATGATTACATGTATTTTAAATTGTATAAAAAGTAAAACTAAACTTAAGACAGGGAGTAGATCAATAGTGGCCAGGGGCCAGGAGAAGAAGGACTGGGAAAGGGGCATGAGAGAATTTTTTTAGGGTAACAGTAATGTTCTCTATCTTAATCATAGTGCCGGTTACATGGGTACATACATTTATCAAAACTAACTAAATAGCCAGGCATGGTGGCTCATGCCTGTAATCCCAGCACTTTGGGAGGTCAAGGCAAGAGGATCACTTGAGCCCAGGAGTTCAAGACCAGGAGCCCAGGAGTTCAAGACCAGCCTGGGCAACAAAGCGAGATCTCATCTCTATAAAAAAATGAAAAAATTAGCCAGGTGCGGTGGCTTGCACCTGTGGCCTCAGCTACACAGGAGGCTGAGGCAGGAGGATCACCTGAGCCCAGAAGGTTGAGACTGCAGTGAGCCATGTTTAATGTTTACACCACTGCACTCCAGCCTGGTGACAGTAAGACCCTGTCCCAAAAAACAAAACAAAACAAACAAAAAAATATATATATACACACACATACACACATATATACATATAATAATTGAACTGTGTACTTAGAATAGGTGTATTTCGTGTGTGCAAAATATACCTAAAATTTTTTTAAACCAATGAATTATTTTCTTAGTATTCAATCCATCAGAAACAAAAATTGGTTCAGAACACTAAACGTACCATGTATCTGAGTTCATTTCTACTTCTCATTTCCCCCAAATAAATATCTCTTAAAATACAAATTTTTAGTCAAATATCCTCACCTTGTTTCTATAATTTCTTCCAACTATATTTGCTAGAGCTTCATAAATACAGTGTCCACCAAAAATAGTTGTAAGTGTGTGTCTACATTTTCCATTTTATATACTCTTGGCATTTAGCTCTAAGCTCAGAAACTAAAATGTTCATAAACTAAAGAACAACCAAACGGAAAACTTTAGGCTCTAAAATTAAGCTCTACCTACCCATTTGCCAAAGTGGTGGCTTCTCTCATCTGAGCAATTGATCTGTTAACAAATCGGCTTTCCTCTGATCACAGGCAGCCAAAGACTGCCGCACTGACACAGGCACCATCTTCTCAAGCAGATCTAAGATTAGGAAGAGAAATTACAACAAAATTTTAAGACAAAAACCCGAACTGTAAAAGTGACTATTCATGTTTTCTTTCCAATATTCACACATCTATACATATTTGATATTTAAAGATCAAAGTATCAATAGTCTATTGACATTTAAAGATCAAAACTAAATCACTATTTAAAGCACAATGATAAAGAGAATTTTTAGATCACTACATTCACGGACAATGGTGACAATGAAAAGTTTCTACTTTGAACTTAATTTTCTTTAACTTTTTCAGATGTGTTCATCACTGAGTTTGAGGGATCTTCAGTGACGCTGTTCATTTGTTGATTAAACTGAATGAGGGGCCGGGAGCAGTGGCTAAGGCCTGTAATCCCAGCACTTTGGGAGGCCGAGGCAGGCGGCTCACCTGAGGTCAGGAGTTCAAGACCAGTCTGGCCAACTTGGAGAAACCCCATCCCTACTAAAAATACAAAAATTAGCCAGTGTAATGGTAGGAGCCTGTAGTCCCAGCTACTGGGGAGGCTGAGGCAGAAGAATCGTCTGAACCCAGGAGGCGGAGGTTGCAGTGAGCCGAGATTGCACCACTGCACTGCAGCCTGGGCAACAGAGCAAGACTCGGTCTCAAAAAAAAAAAAAAATTGACTGAGTGGGTCACGGCAGCAGGATTCCATTTCTGGCTCCAACACTTCCTAGCTATGTGACCTTGAGGAAATTACTTAACCACTCTGTGCATCAGTATCCTCATCAAATAGGGCTAACAACAGTACCCATCTCAGGGCACTTGTGAAAACTAATGAGGCAATATTTGTAAAGTGCTTAAAGAGTGCCTGGCACATGGTAAACACTTTGTGTTTGCTAAATAAACACATAATCACCCTTTCCCAGTAACAGAATATTCTCCTTGGGATCTCAGCTAGAGGCTACCATCTGTTGTATACATCTACTTCTACTTCCCTTCAACCTAAATAATTATACCTTTTAACCATATTGACAATAATATGGAAATATCACTCAAGAAGAACCTAACAGACCATGGAATTATAATAATTTAAACCATCCTTTTATCAAATGACATGGTCAGAACTGGAGAGGAAAGAGGGATACTAGTAACTTTTAAGTCCTCTACTAAGGTTTTTTTAATAAAAAGACTTCCAACCCACTAGAAAATATGCTTACATTTGCACATACTCCAGAAAAAGGAAACATTAAAATAAATTCCCCACTATGAATGTGTTATAGTGTTGATGTCCTGTGTTACAGTACATGCGTGTCATGAGCTGTCAGGAAATGTGTACACCATGCAGGAGGCTGGACCCTGAGTGAGAATGACTGCCTGTAAAAACTGCCTGGCAATGGGAATGGCCAAAGAACTTTTGTCAATTGGTATGTCTAAGATTCAACTTTAAGCTGATTTCTATAGTGAGGTACAATCCTTCATTATTCTAACACTTAGGTAATGAACACATGAAAGAGAGAGAGAGGAGAGCAAGATTTAGAATCTTGATGAGAATCTGGTTTTTTGTTTGTTTTGTTTTGTTTTGTTTTGAGAAGGAGTCTCGCTCTGTTACCCAGGCTGGAATGCAGTGGCGCTATCTCGGCTCACTGCAAGCTCCACCTCCCGGGTTCACGCCATTCTCCTGCCTCAGCCTCCCAAGTAGCTGGGACTACAGGCACCCACCACCACACCTGGCTAATTTTTTGTATTTTTAGTAGAGACGGGGTTTCACCGTGTTAGCCAGGATGGTCTCGATCTCCTGACCTCGTGATCTGCCCGTCTCGGCCTCCCGAAGTGCTAGGATTACAGGTGTGAGCCACCGTGCCAGGCCGAGAATCTTAAAAATTATGTAACTTAAGTTTCTTCCTCATTCTTTTCCAGATTCTGAATAAAGGGGTGGGTTTGAGAGATGGAAAAAAACTTAAAATCAAAAGGTAGTCTTTGAAATTAAACACCATCATACCAGCCTGTGATTTTCCAAACATAGAAAAATCTTTTTAGCCTACTTCCTTCATTACCAAGAGCAAAACAAACCAAAACAGTAGATGCTAAGGTATAAACCTGATGCCACAAATGATACAGATCCAAACAAACACAAATATATACACACACACACACAGATTCAAAAATCACAACACTATAAATCCTAGGACCAATGAATCTAATTAAATCCCTTTTGTGTAATATCCCTATTAATATAGGACTAGAAGACATTTTATACTCAAAAATCCAAAAGTCTAAATGGCTTCCACATAGTCAACAACACAGGATTTCCACTAACTCCACCACACTACCATATGTGGCTTTAGGTAGCTCAAAACTGATTTCCAAAATGAAGTATATTTTTGAGAGTAACAACTCCCAGAGAAAAACAAGGGCACACATATAGAGTTCCATGCTCCTCAGGAACTGCTAGGTCTGATCTTGGACCCTCTCTTCTACTAGGTTCGGCCAGGATGAATATATCTGATGAGACCCACATACCTTATCAAGAAATGGCTGGAAAAGGCTAAAATCGTTTCTCATGTTCCCATTACTACAAAGTAAAAGCATGACAAGCTCTATACTTAAGTGTTTTGACTTGGTCAAACGCTAACACCGGGTTTGCTACAGTGTAAAATTAATCTAGAATGTAATCATTGATTCCATTTTCTTTTTATTCTTAAAAAAAAAAAGGTGGTTGGGGAAGAAATCACTGCTTTTCCATTGCGCAGGTACTTTGTGCTAGAGAGCATGTGTCATTTCCAGGGTCTCAGAAAAAGAACAGATGTATCTATGTGTAAACACAAACAGTAAGTTACAAGTTGCCCCTTAGTACTGAAGGCAAGAATCAGCATCAGTACTCAAAAAAGTGTTTTAAAAAGAGTGTAACTTACTCTTACTGACCCAGGCTAAACGGGCTCTGTCTGGTGCTTCTTTGTCTGCACATGGCCACCCACAGCCTGTCTTCTAATTAAATCAATGCTCCAGCAGCAGAACAAGCAAACAAGTTGCCTCCCATCTACGTACAGCTCTTCAGGATACATTTCCCTTGTTCAGAAGGTGGAAATTCTTGGGAGAGGTGATTTTCTCTGCCTCTTCACAAGAAGAACATGGATACTTGGTTGGATGCAACTCCATGAAGCATAACTGTGTGTGTACACCTCAAAAAATAAAAAATGCAGAGAAACATAAAGACTCCATAAACAGCTGGAATACACAGAAATACTGAAGCACCGCTGGGAATACTGCTAAACAGACAGGCAAAATAGGGTCTTTGAAATCATCAATAATACCAAGTTAAGAAAAAAAAAAGGAAAAAAGAGCACCTAAGGTCAAAACTCAAATTTCATGCAATGAAAACATTGTAAGTACTACAAAAGAAAAAAGGTAAATCTTCTACTTTACATACGTAGAAACACATCCCACTCCCCTTACAGAGAATAAAATATATTATCAATGGAAGAGAAAAATGAGATTTTCAAGGGTGGTAGGTCTAAAATTAGACTCACCAGCCACATTATAGTTAATGAGCACTTACATAAATGTGAGCTAAATGCATCAAGCTGTCTTTCCAGTGTGGTCAGCTGTACTGGGGGGCAGGGGGTGCTGGGGAAAGAGCAAGGGACCACTCTGCTTATGAAAACATAATTTCTACAAAAATAAAAATGTACAGGAAACGAGATGCTCGTTTATTTAAATAATTTTAAACTTCCCAAATCACAGAAACGACCTTAAAGTAGATGCCCCTCCTTTTTTGCAATAAAAACCAAATGACTGAAGTAGGGTAGGGAGCAGGGTGTGGTTAAGCATCTGCTCACAAGAAAACTTGTTATAAGTTTGGTGAGGGAAAAGGGAAATGTATCAGCTCTTTCCAATGTCCCCTTCCATCCTAGGTATGCCCATATGCCATCAGGAAGCCACACCATCTCCATGACCACTAGGCATTTCAAGGACTGGCAGGCCTTAGAAGTTTCTTCTATCCCCCTGAGGCACACAGACAATTCCAGCCAGAAGTATAAAGCCCAGGGAAGAGAATATGGCCTATTCCTGCAGCTGCGCAAGAGGCCTGCGCTGGGGTCCCCTCACAATAAACTACTCAAGTGTGACCAACATTCCCATTCTGGAGATCCCTGACTTAAAGAAATGCAGACCTGGCTGGGCACGGTGGCTCACACCTGTCATCCCAGCACTTTGGGAGGCCAAGGCAGATGGATCACTTGAGGCCAGGAGCTTGAGGACAGCCTGGGCAACGTGGCAAAACCCCGTCTCTACTAAAAACACAAAAAAATTAGCCAGGTGTGGTGGCGCACACCTGTAGTCCCAACTACTCAGGAGGCTGAGGCATGAAAATCGTTTGAACCTGGGAGGTAGAGATTGCAGTGAGCCGAGATCATACCACTGCACTCCAGCCTGGGCGACAGAGCGAGAATCTGTCTCAACAACAACAACAAAGATACAGACAAATGTATAACAGTATTATATATAATAATATAAATATATAATGAAAATACCTACTTTCTTTCTCTTACATACCAAAATATCAGTCATCTGAACAAGTTATTCTTAAAGGACTTCCCTAGAGTTTACAAGCAAGCAATATTTGTATTACACAGAGATCCAAAGACGATGAACTGTTTTTAACAGAATGACTAAAAACTTGGCCCAATATAATCTGCCCTATAAACGCTAAAGCATTTGGACAAGAAACGAGTTTTAACCATGAATTAGCATCTCCCCTGACCATAGGGAGCTTTAAAGCATGAATTAAGTGAGTAAAAAACTTCACAGTCCATTTTTAATAACAGAAGTTCAACAAAAGATTTTTAACAAAGGAACCTGTATAATTTGCCTTTTACTACATAAAACGTAAAAGCTATTCCTATCACTATTCTTTTTTTTTTTTCTTTTAGACGGAGTCTCAGTCCGTAGCCCAGGCTGGAGTGCAGTGGCGCAGTCTCAGTGCAGTCTCAGCTCACTGCAACCTCTGCCTCCTGGGTCCCAGTTCAAGCAATTCTTCTGCCTCAGCCTCCCAACTAGCTGGGATTACAGGAACACGCCACCACGCCCAGCTAATTTTTGTATTTTTATTAGAGATGGGGTTTCACCATATTGGCCAGGCTGGTCTTGATCTCCTGACCTCGTGATGCGTCCACTTCGGCCTCCCAAAGTGCTGGGATTACAGGCGTGAGCCACTGTGCCCGGCCCCATCACTATTCTTAATACACGGTATTCTACCTACCAAAATAATCAGTTTTCAGAATGAATTAACCAAAATTTCTCAAAGGTTACAACAAGATCTTCAAAACCTCTGCGAAATTCATCAGTTTTCTCACAAAAGATTATAAATTACCTTCCAAAAGTCTGTCATTCATATTTCACCTATTATTACTCATTAGACTTTTTTAAACCAGGTCTTTGTACTTTTTAAGAAAAACACCATTGTGCAAAAGGAGCTTCAGGCAGTATTTTATAAATAGTTCATTTTCTATCAGAATCCATGAAACACTTTCTACTTCAGAAACAATCCTAAGAAAATGGTAGCATCATGACTCACCCAGTTCTATATCCAATTTTCTCAAAAAAGAAATTCACATTAGAAGTTTTACCATGTGAAATATGCAAAATTATGGTCTGGAATCTTAAATCCACTGTCACTACTTGATCCAAAACTATTTCAAAAGCAGCCAAAAAAGCAACTGGCATTCAAATGTATAGTCCCAAATATGAAGACCAAATTCTTTCACAATATTAATCTTCTCTGCTGTGAGTGAAACCAGAGTTGTACCATCCAGTGAACAGAATTCACTTTCTCATCAGTTATTAAGATAATCTCAAAAAAGCTATATGAAACAACAGGAATGAATCAACTTACCAATAAATCATTAAAATATGATCTATAAACTGACCTTTCCATTTCCTTCCCTACATTTTGAAGATAAACAAAATATACTTTGGAGTAATATCATTTGCATTTCCACACTGCAGAAAACCTCTCATACAGAAGCAGCCACCTTCCCTCCCAAAATTCTAAAGGGAGAAGGTGGTCAATTTAATAGATAGGAACTTTTGCACCTGCCCCTCCTTTACTTAAATGAAGAAAACACCTCATTCTGTTGTCCAGAAGTGACAGTCTTAAGATGACATCACTTGTCTGTAGTGGTGGTAAAGAAAAATAAAACCACACAAAATTATCAGTCTCTAAGAAAAGCTAAAAAATGATATGTCTGCATAGTTCCCTTTAGTGTGTGTGGAACACACTACTATACACACACACACACACACACACACACACACACATTTCTTTTGCCTTGTCTCTTCCTCCTCCACTGCATGGAGTTAAGATCAGTATACTTTTCAATATTTGGGAAAATACAAATTATCACATTTTTAAAATATACGGCCAGATACTCTTTCTAGGCAATAAAGACCATTAAAACATTTCAGTCATTTCAATCCACAATTACTATTTAAGGAATTCATATCAATTTCAATATCTGCCTAAGTAATAATATAACGGGCAAGTTTTAAAAATATGTTTATGTATTGTTTCCTTAAGCTCAGTGGCAAGAACATCATTTTTTAAATCAAAAAGTATATCCCAAAGTCTAAAGAGAAAAGAACAATGACTGTTTGCATCTGTTCAATAATCCAGACATGACTTAACTGAATAGACTGACCAAAACTAAGATAAGTGTTTATTCTCAAATTAAACATAATGCATTATTAATAAGGCTCTCCAGAATTTTTCTCAGCACTTTTCAGTATTCTGAAAGGACTCAATACTGCTACTTATATTTCTCTAAGTACGGCAAATATTAGAATCCAATCTTCTTACATCTTTCCATTGACCCAAGCTATTACAATACTTCCCCAACTGAAGTCCATCTGAAAACCTATCCTGTTTTAAGGTAATGAATCACAATTATTCAAGGTGAGAGAAACTGCAGGGGGCAGTATAAGCATGATTTGCAACATAATTCTTAAGATTTAGGAAAATTCTTCCTGTTAGTGTAAGCTTAACCTTAAACTATTAACATATATTTCAATCAAAGAGTCCATAGAAAAGTTAATTGTTAAAGATAATTGAAATTCTTCCACAGATTTAATAATCAAAAGTTGAGGCCAGGCACAGTGGCTCACACCTGTAATTGCAGCACTTTGGGAGGCCGAGGTAGGTGGATCACCTGAGCTCAGGAGTTCAAGACCACCCTGGTCAACATGGTGAAACCCCATCTCTACTAAAAAAAAAAAAAAATACAAAAATTAGCTGGGTGTGGTGGTGCATGCCTGTAGTCCCAGCTACACGGGAAGCTGAGGCACAAGAATCACTTCAGCCTGGGAGGCAGAGGTTGCAGTGAGCCAAGATCGCACCACTGCACTCCAGCTTGGGCTACAGAGTGAGAATCCATCTCAAAAATATACATATATGTAAAATAAAATAATTGAAAGTTGAGGTGTGGGATGCACTAAAGTCACTTGGGGAAGAATTCTATGCTACCATTATCCTTATGACTTATTCCAATCAAAAATAATAGAACAAGAAATTGTTTTCCTTTAAATTCATATCCACACTCTTAAAAAAACACAAGTTATCCAAAACTATAAGTCCACTTACTCAGGAGAAACTCATTATTTCAAAATGTATTCTTATCATCTTTAAGTATAAATAAGTAAACCCCTTAAAAGTCAGATTCAACACTAGGGGAAAATAGAATGAAATATTAAACATGATATATAAGTATGACTTAGGAAAATTAAAGTTATTCTAAGATAAAAAGAGAAACTTAATTTTATTCAGTTTTGCATTCATGGTTGCCATTCTAGTATATTCTCCAGCTACTCAATAACCTTCTTTCCCAAACCTATGCTGACTCCATGCAAGTAATTTTCAACTAACAATTGAATTAGTTAAGTTAGATGAAGCCCTCTTTGTGTGTCTGTTTGGAGTAAAGGTAACATTTGGTGGTAAATACATCTATCTTCTTTCTTATGTCATTTTTCTCCTCTGATCCTCAACATATAATTAACCTTTCTTTGATGCTGTAAAACTTGTCATTAATAGTTACCATAAATATTCATCTCATACATACCACTTCCAAAGCACCTCATAACTGTAATAATTGCTAACAGTTATGGGTGCTTACTACGTACCACACACTGTTCTAAGAGACTGTCCTGTATTAGTCATATATGAACTCAGTTAATCTTCACAACTCTGTGAAGTGGGAATTATTATCCTCATAAATAGGGAAACTGAGTCAAGGACAGACTGTGCCACACCCATGGACACATGGCTAATGACTGGTAGAGCTGGCATGAAATGTATCAGTCATATTAGGAGGGCATCACACATCCCCATGTAAGATTCAATAGAACTAGGTGCCCACCATATACTTTCACCTTCCTTGACTACATTAGGACCAATCTGACATTACCAAGAGAAATTAAAATCTACAAAGCATGATCAAAAGCTCAGGTCCACAATTAAGCATGAGAATATACAGAAAACACAGCTAGGACTTTTGGTAAACACCTGGGCAATTTTCACAAGGAAAGGCATGAAAGGGTGCGTGCCCTGGTATGAGAGCCTGAATACAAGGGCCACAACCCAGTCAACCTGGAAATGTCGCCTTTAACTATCATCTCCTCCCTCAAACTCATCATTGTTTCGTCATCATGTCTTACTTGATTCCCTAAGGAGTATTCTCAACCAGAAAAATATTTTTCACGATAATCCTCTCAACTGATAGATACAAACCTATCTTCTCCAAGTTTGAGCAGCAAGTCAATCTTCTGAAGACCTCAACATCCCCTGCACGAATTCATCAAGGGTCCAAATCAAGAGAACTAAGAGGACCTCACTCTAGAGTATAAAAAATTATAGCAAACGTGAGAGCCTCCCCACTCAATTATTCGATGTCCACAGTAAACTGGGGACAAACCTAACCGTAACACTGGGACAAGGCACACTTCACAGCACACAATTTCAGGACATACATCTAACCGTTAGGTTCGTGAAGAATCTTCCCCTTCTACTTTAGGCACTTTGGACAGTTGGAATTTATTTTTAAACAACAGAACATACATCATTTTTTGGGGGTTAACTTCAAGGATTTTCCTACTGAAAATGAGAAACTTCAGTATCCAATCACTAACTTTTGTATTCACGAATCTCACAAAAAAAAAAATCAAGAAAAGAAAGGAATTTAACCAACTTTTATATTACTCAGAAAAGTCACCAATGAAAATAACAATATCATAGGCTTCTTCATAACTGTGCTAATACTGGTGGGCAACACTGGTCATATAATTTATGGTTGACTAACTCAACAGTTTCATGTCATTTAAGAACAACAAAGATAAACTCACTAATATTTTCAATAAAACAGAGAAAAGAAATACCTCAAGTTCCACCAGTGCTGCAGTGACTGCGTCAGTTGCAAGAGCACCGGCCTGCAGCTTTTCAATTGCCTATGAAACCAAGGGGAGAGATTATTCATTGCAAAATCACAACTTCTCAAACTTTCCAAAAGCTTAAAGAAGTATGGGAGACGCTTAGATTAATAAAAATTGACCACTAGTTCCATTCCATACTTTAAGACATAAACTACTCAGAGTAAAAACAAGCAAGTGTTTATATTCAGGTTAATTGGTAATATGGCTCACTTAATATTCTTCAAATTAAAACAATAACATCTAGCTATTAAATGAAAAGTACAAGGAATTTAGTTAGCTTAATTCATTGTAAGGCTATTCAAAATAGCCACAGAAATCGTATGACCCAGTTTGGTTCAAATATCCTGAGAATTCGTATTTTATATAGATAACTAAATCTCAAACGAATCATTTCTCCTCCCCGTTAGTACTCTCCATACCTAAAAAGAAGTGACTCTGAGTCACGGGGCGCCAGAATCTGAGGATAAAAGCACACATTTGACAAAAACATTTTGGATACTATAATGTAAATTCTAAATCAAGATGTAACATATTATTTTGTAATATAAACTACACAGAATAAAGGTCTATAAAATCACCTGGCCTTGAGCATAAATTAGGAGAGGAAAAGAGAGAGAAGGAAAAGTCATTTATAAATGAATTATTAACATTTCAATTTAGTCAACAAAGAGAAAGCTCAAAAACTAAGAACTGTATTCCTAATTAAACTTTTAAGAAGTGTATTCATTGGAAATATTAAAGAGGCTAAATACACAATTCAAATGTATTAGATTTCTAGGACTATAGTTATATAAAATTTATTTTCAGATGACAGAAAAATTTCACACTTTGAAAAATAAGAAAAAATATAAAACAGCTTAGAGAACTTTTAGCTTTATTATTATAAATTTCAAAAGAACAAAATCCCTGTAACAAAATATTCTTATTTATAGGGCTTCATTCATAAGAAAAAGCTTGAATCTCTGATAAAGTATAATCTTTTTAATGTTATGTAAATATCAATGAAAAGAGCAGAGAGAAACGCATATTTACTTGATATACAATATTCAACTAGATTCTATTTGCATAAAAAGTAATGGAAGGTTTGCCTACAAGACTAGTAAGAATCAAAATAAAAAACATTTCTTCTGAGTCCATTCCTGTCCCCACATTAAATATTCAACAATTTAGCAAAACCTCAAAAACCAATGGGAAAAAAGCACAACTGAGTACAAGGGCAAAGCTGAACTCTGCAATGACAATGAACTTGCTATGATACAAACTACGTGATGAAAAACAGAATGAAAAAGTATAGGACAATCTCTCTTAAAAAAGCACCCATTTTAATTTTTTTATTTATTTTTTTCCTTTCATGGAAAAACACACTGACTGCCTTCAAGCTGTTTTCTCTATCCTTCTGTCTACAGAAGTTCAACATCGTTGCAAAGATTAAAAGAGATATGATTGTGTGCCCACAATTACAAAAATACAGACTTTAATCTGGGAAGTGGGGAAAGAGCTAAGCATCATGTGGAGAAAGACACAAAACAACACAAAACGATCCCCTACAAAAACAAGCAAAATAATTTTGTAGTCCAAACCGGAAGACTGCCCTAGAAATGAAACTTTTAAATGTTGAATTTCTTTTTTTTTTTGGAGTTGCATACATTTTTTTAATCCAAAGAAGTCAGCCTCCTAAGTATTGCTTAAACAGGTTTATCAGAATTAAGTAGGCACGACACTCATACTTTCAGAAAAGCATTTCCAGCCAGGGGAGTAACGTGGCACTCACCAGCATGATATCTGTTTTGCCAACTTGCTGAGGAACGAGTAACCTGAAATGAAGAAGCGAGAATCCCATCCTCAGCCCCCCAACAGCTTCCTCAGCTTCTTTTTCTTCTGAGTCACTCTGAAACAGTCGCTGCATCTAAGACCAGCCTCGGGCTAAACCCAGCTGGCCTGAAGGCTCAACTCACATCAAACAGAGCTGGGAGTTACTTTTGCGTGTGTCCGCAGTTTGAAGTGTCCTCTCCGAAGGTGAAGTGGGGGAAGCAGGTGCGCTCTGGGATGAAGTGCAGGGAGGCAAACTCTGGCTGGGTTCCTGTAAACATCCATGGCAGTTGCAAATAATCAGAAGACAAGGCCAGGCCATCGGTGTGACGCTGCAGGCAGATGAGGTCTTGGGACGCCCCTTGCGTTCCCCCTTCTGTGGGAGCAGGTGCCTTCCCAACCTCAGCACTCAGTCCCAATCTCTCTTCCACTCTCCTGGGTCCAAACAGGAACCTCTCTGTTGGCACGAAGCTTTTGAGGGGAGCAGGCAGGCCTCGGAGGCAGGGGAGGGTCTCCTCCTGGGGAACCATCCCCGTCCAGATGGTGCCCCCAACCAGCTGTGGCGCCATGATCTGGGCGGCTGGTCCAGGGCGTGGGTTGCGGATCGTGGAGGGAAGAGGGGAACGGCAGTCGAGACCCTACTCCAAGTACCCATCAAAGACGTCGAGCTCCGAGTCAGCATCGTAAAGGCCCGAGCCGGGGTCGGAGAGCACGCCGAGGTCCACGAGCGCCTGGTCCATGTCCTCGAACAGGAAGACGAGGCCCACGTTGAGGACGATGTACTCCATGAGGAAGGCGTAGTACAGGATCAGCACATTGACGAAGAACAGGCCCACGTAGAACATAGAGGGCAGCAGCGGCGGCGGCACGTAGGGGACCAGGGGGCCCAGTGCGTCCAGGTGGGCCGCGACCCGGGCGCCGAGCATGCAGCCGGTGGCAAGGGCGGCGGCGGCCCGGCGATCCCGGCGAACTCAGCCGCTGTGGCGCCCGGGCGGCCGGCGAGGGCACAGCGCAGCCATCCAGGGGTACCCTGGAGCCCGACAGAAGCAGGGCCGGGCTCCAGATGTCTCCTGGCAAATGCGCCCCGACCCCCGAAATGCGCCGGGCGGGTCACCGCACCCCGAGATGTGCCCCCAAGGCTCTTTCGACCGCCGTGAAGTGGCGGGCCCCCTTGAAGTGGCCGGCGGCTGCCCGGCTCCCTCGAGGCGCCTCCCTGGCGCTCGCAGGGGCCTCGCAGAGCCGGCGGGGATCCCACCGCGGCTCAGTGTCTAGGGCCGGTCCCGGCAGCCCTCTCTCCCGCCCGGCTCCGCAGGTCCTAGCGTCCCCCTCCCCCCCGCGCCCCTGCAGGCCCAGCACCCATGGCTGCGGCCGCGGCGTCGTCCTCCGGGTCGCGCTCAGAGCCACTGCTTTATGTTCAAAACTGAAACGCATAGATCATACACATTGCGTTGATACCCTCTGACAAGCTCGTTTGCATACATGTTTATATTCCTTGGCTTTGGATTCAGAATGATAAACTGCACCTATAGTAGAAAATAAAATCCAGTTGTTAATTGTTAAAGTATCAAGAGACCTTGCTTATGTTATATAAATACTCCAATAAACTGATGCTGTCCTAGTAAAAAACAAAACTATTGCCCTAACTGTATGGAGTTTTATGACTTCTTTCTCCAATGTAAGCCTTTTTAATACCATGCCTTATCTCCGTTTTCAAAAGCTCTTTTCCTGCCAAAAGCCCTAAAAATAGCTCATGTCCCCAGAGGCTTCACCAAGGTCACCTCCCCTCTTCTTTTCAAGAAGCTTTTTTCCAAATCAGGAGTTCTTTTGATCTGGAGCTGACAACCCAGAAGGTGTCAGGGACAGGGTCCCTCCAGGTTCCTCTCTGCTGAAAGCCCCTGCCATTTGGGAAGTTACTGTTTCAAATCCAGAATTCATAAGAATAATTCAGAAAGCTGGATTGCTTCTGAACAACATTGGAAGTTGAGGCATCTTACATCTCACATGTCCACAACCACCACCAATTGCACCATTCCTAAGCAAACACTTCACGTCCTCTCAATAAAGTTGCTAGATTAGTCTCATTTCTTAAAAAGCTGTTTTTTGACAAAATGGGAGAAAATTTTCGCAACCTACTCATCTCACAAAGGGCTAATATCCAGAATCTACAATGAACTCCAACAAATTTACAAGAAAAATACAAGCAACCCCATCAAAAAGTGGGCAAAGGATATGAACAGACACTTCTCAAAAGAAGACATTTATGCAGCCAAAAAGCACATGAAAAAATGCTCATCACTGGCCATCAGAGAAATGCAAATCAAAACCACAATGAGATACCATCTCACACCAGTTAGAATGGCGATCATTAAAAAGTCAGGAAACAACAGGTGCTGGAGAGGATGTGGAGAAAGAGGAACACTTTTACACTGTTGGTGGGACTGTAAACTAGTTCAACCATTGTGGAAGTCAGTGTGTCTAAATCCTCAGGGATCTAGAACTAGAAATACCATTTGACCCAGCCATCCCATTACTGGGTATATACCCAAAGGACTATAAATCATGCTGCTATAAAGACACATGCACACATATGTTTATTGTAGCACTATTCACAATAGCAAAGACTTGGAACCAACTCAAATGTCTAACAATGATAGACTGGATTAAGAAAATGTGGCACATATACACCAGGGAATACTATGCAGCCATAAAAAATGATGAGTTCATGTCCTTTGTAGGGACATGGATGAAACTGGAAACCATCATTCTCAGCAAACTATCACAAGGACAAAAAAACAAACACCGCATGTTCTCACTCATAGGTGGGAATTGAAGAATGAGAACACATGGACACAGGAAGGGGAACATCACACACCGGGGCCTGTTGTGGGGTGGGGGGGAGGGGGAGGGATAGCATTAGGAGATATACCTAATGCTAAATGACTAGTGAATGGGTGCAGCACACCAACATGGCACATGTATACATATGTAACTAACCTGCACTTTGTGCACATGTACCCTAAAACTTAAAGTATAATAATAATAAAATTTTTAAAAAAAGTTGCTTTTTGGTAGTTTATATGTAACACTGTAGTTTTATATGTACTTGCAAATAGCTATAGTACCAGTAAAAAATGTGATAAAATGAAACTCTTTCACATGTGCCAAAAATACTTTGATTTAGCGCTTCATTAAGTGCATGATTATCTGCATCTTTTGATTTACCTTTCTATCTTCACAATTTTCAGCTGAGATACTTAGAGGTCACATAGTAAATTAAGGTTTTCTTTTGAGAGAGTAATGGGGAAGCAGCCCCACTTATCAAGGGACGTGTGCATGAGTTCAATAAAAAGTTTCAGATGTAAAAAAAGTTGAGAAAAATTATAATTGCCCTACATATACACATCATCAACAATTTTTCATTCATGGCATGGACAGTTTTTTGGTTTTTGTTGTTTTTTTGTTGTTGTTTGTTTTTAAAGGTGGGATTTTGCTGTGGTCGCCCAGGCTGGAGTGCAGTGGCATGATCTTGGCTCACTGCAAATTCTGCCTCTCAGGTTCAAGCGATTCTCCTGCCTCAGCCTCCCAAGTAGCTGGGATTACAGGCACCCAGCACCACATCCGGCTAACTGTTGTATTTTTAGTAGAGATGATGTTTCACCACGTTGGCCAGGCTGGTCTTGAACTCCTGACCTCAGGTGATCCACCTGCCTCCGTCTCCCAAAGTGCTGGGATTACAGGCATGAGCCACCACACCTGGCCACAGCCAGTTTTGTTTCACTTATACTCCCACTTCATTTATATACATTCCTTCTTCCTCTGAATTATTTTGAAGTAAAATCTACACATCATATCATTTTTTAATTACCGTATATGTATCTGTAGAAGACAAGGAATTTTTAAAAATAAATATATTCACAATGCCATTAAATACCAAAAAATTAATATTCTGAAAATAGCCACAAATCCAGAGTTCACATTTTCTTGACTTTCTCATAGGTGATTTTTCTTCTAGGTTTTCTATTTAATCAGGTAACTGTTTGCTCATATTTACATTCCTTACTGAACAATGTTTAACTTAAAACTGACATAAAACGCACAGGATCTTCTGACCAAATGCTTAGTGCAAGAAAAAACTTCAAACTGCAACACGAATCCCTCCAAATATAGAAAGGACCAGTATTTTAAGAGGTATGTTAACTAAAATGTGGCAATGTAAGGAGCAAAACAGGAAGAACCTTTAAGTCCTAAACTTACAAGTCGATTTCCTAGTCAGTTTCCCTGGTCCTTCCACAACAACCTCTGGCATCTGTTTTCTCTACAATGGAGGTAACAATAGTAGCTATTCCAGAGCAGGAAAAGGCTTAGAGCAGTGCTAGAAGAGGGTCGTGGCTATATAAAGTTTAGCTATTTGTATATTTTAACAAACCACCTTTTTTGTTGTTGTTGTTGTCAATAATAGATTTCTTTTCGAAAAGTAGCAGCCTCCTGTCTGGGGACACCTGCAGTTCCACTAAGTGAACATTGGTGTCTGCTCACCTTTGCCTCTATTTCTCTCAATA
The DNA here is from genome assembly GCF_000001405.40 of Homo sapiens. Lineage (NCBI taxonomy): Eukaryota > Metazoa > Chordata > Mammalia > Primates > Hominidae > Homo > Homo sapiens. Next base: position 22,711,305 of record NC_000015.10, on the reverse strand, counting down.
ATATACTGTCAAGCTCTGTTCCTTGATTTAGCAATTTTATGTACTTTTATTTTTTTTTTCCTTTCTGTTTTCCTGAGACATAGTCCCGCTCTATCGCCCAGTTTGGACTGCAGCAGCGCCATGATGGCTCACTGCCACCTCACCCCCACCCCTCTCCGGCTCAAGCAATCCTCCTACATCAGCCTTCAGAGTAGCTGGGACTACCCGCCGGGCCCACCAGGCCCCGCTAATCTTTGTGGTTTTTGTTTTGTTTTTCAGTTAAGGGACTGGGTTTCGGGCCAGGCGCGGTGACTCAGGCCTGCAATCGCAGCACCCCGGAAGGCCGAGGCCGGCGGGTCACCCGAGGTTAGGAGCTGGAGACCAGCCCGACCAACATGGAGAAACCCCATCTCAACCAAAATAAATAAATAAATAAATAAGTAGCCGGGCATGGTGGCTCACACCTGCAATCCCAGCCACTCAAGAGGCTGAAGCAGGAGAATCACCCAAACCCGGGAGGCGGAGGCCCGGGGAGCCGAGACCACGCCACTGCACTCCAGCCTGGGCAACAAGAGGGAAACTCCGCCTCGAAAACAAAACAAAACAAAAAAACAGGTTTCACCATGTTGCCCAGGCGGGTCTGGATCTCCTAGGCTCAAGCAATTCACCGCGCTCAGCCGTCCAAAGTCCTGGGATCACAAGCGTGAGCCATGACACCAGGCCGATCTATTCCTGTCTGATTAAAAATTGGGCCGGGCGTGGTGGTTAACGCCTGCGATCCTAACACCCAGGGAGGCCAAGGCGGTCGGATAACCTGAGGTTGGAGTTTGAGACCAGCCTTATGAACATGGAGAAACCCCATCTCCAACAACAAAAACAAACAAACAAAAAACAAAATGAGCTGGGCATGGTGGCTCACGCTGCAATCCCAGCCACTCGGGAGGCTGTGGCAGGAGAACCACCCAAACCCGGGAGGCGGAGGCCCGTTGAGCCAAGACCTCACCACTGCACTCCAGCCTGGGCAACAAGAGCCAATCTCCGCCTCAAAACAAAAAGTGATCGGGTTTCACCATGTTGCCCAGGCAAGTATGGAACGAACTCCTAGGCTCAAGCGATCCGCCGCGCTCAGCCGTCCAAATTCCTGGGATCATAAGCGTGAGCCACCATGCAAGGCCGATCTATTCCTTTCTGATTAATAAACTGGGCTGGGCGCGCTGGCTCACGCCTGCAATCCCAGCACCCCCAGAGGCCGAGGAGGCGGGTGGATAACCTGAGGTCGGGAGTTTGAGACCAGCCTGATGAACATGGAGAAACCCTGTCTGTACCAAAAAAAAAAAGAGAAGAGAGACCGGGTTTCACCATGTTGCCCAGGCCGGTGTGGAACTCCTAGGCTCAAGTGATCGATCCCCCGCGCTCGGCCGTCCGACGTCCTGGGACCACAAGCGTGAGCCACCACGCCAGGCCGATCTATTCCTTTCTGATTAATCAGTTGGGCTTTGTGTGCTGGCTCACGCCTGCAATCCCAGCACCCCCGGAAGCCAAGGCGGGCGGATAACCTGAGGTCCTGAGTTTGAGACCAGCCTGACCAACAGGTGGAAACCCTGTGTGTACCAAAAAAAAAAAGAAAAAAGAAAATTAGCCAGGCATGGTGGCTCACACCTGCAATCTCAGCCATTAGGGAGGTTGAGGCAGAAGAACCATCCAAACCCAAGAGGCGGAGGCGGCGGGGAGCCGAGACTGCACAACTGCACTCCAGCCTGGGCAACAAGAGCGAAACTGCGCCTCAAAAACAAAAAAAACAAAAAAAACGAGAGAGACCGAGTTTCACCATGTTGCCCAGGCCTGTCTGGATCTCCTAGGCTCAAATGATCCCCAGTGCTCTGCCATCCAAAGTCCTTGGATCACAAGCGCGAGCCACCAAGCCAGGCCCATCTATTCCTCTCTGATTAATAAATTGGCCTGGGCTGCGGTGGCTCACACCTGCAATCCTGTAGCGGGATTTTTAAGGAATTAGATAGACTCATGGGATTTAGGAGAACATTTATTAATTATTTAGGTGCACCCGCCCAGTCGGATTAACATTTAAAGGATTGAGTACTGAACCAAGAGTTACCTTTCAAGCATTATGTGGGGCGAAGGGGGAGATCTGTGCAGGGAGAAGCATATTATAGAAGCGAGAAACAAAGATACTTATTTAATTGAAACATACATTATATTATTTTTTACTATTTAAGGAAAAATATGTTTTGTGACTTGAGTTTATTTAGTGACCTTGCAGTTGCACAGTTAGGGAATTAGTCGGGCATGGTGGCTCACACCGCAATCCCAGCCACTCGGGAGGCTGTGGCAGGAGAACCATCCAAACCCGGGAGACGGAGGTCCCGCAAGCCGAGACCTCGCCACTGCACTCCAGCCTGGGCAACAAGAGCAAATCTCCCCCTTAAAAAAAAAAAATGTGACTGGGTTTCACTATTCTGTCCAGGCCGGTCTGGAACTCCTAGGCCCAAGCGATCTGGCGCTTGATGTCTTTAACCTGTGATTGAAAGCATATTAAGATCTTGGGTGTATCAACAGTCCAGAGGTCAAGAAGGAAACTCCTGGAATGTGAAATATTCTGCAACAAGAAAGGCAATTGGAGAGGTGACTACATTCACTGCAGTTGTTTTGCCCTCTTCTTTCTCCTCTCTCTCTTTCCTGGAAGTCCCCTAGTACAAAGTAAAAGAGATAATGGTTTTGGAGTGCATGTTTTTCCTGGAATTGGAAGGAATTTTAACAAAGGAGCCCTTCACAATGAAACCCCCCCACACCCCTGCTTTTCACCTGAAGTAGGACAAGATCGGCGCCCCCACCATCATTCTCCACGTGACCCCAGGTGGGGATGGGGGGTGGACACTACTGATAACCTCTTAGCAATTTCCTTCTTTATGGACTCTGAAGCTCCTTAGCTTGACAACTGATGAATAAGTTTTCTTTTGTGGGATAAGAGTAGATAAGAATTTTCCCCCTGAATTCCCGTCCTCGGGCCAGGGAAGAGAGCCCAGGATCCCTTCTCTTGGCCTTCACACTGCGGGAAAGAGTACCTAGAGTTAAAAGCCTGATAAATGCCCTCAAACAGCTTTGAAAATCACGAGGTCAGGAGATCGAGGCCATCCTGGCTAACACGGTGAAACCCCGTCTCTACTAAAAAAAAAAAAAAAAATACAAAAAATTAGCCGGACATGGTGGCAGGCGCCTGTAGTCCCAGCTACTGGAGAGGCTGAGGCAGGAGAATGGCGTGAACCCAGGAGGCGGAGCTTGCAGTGAGCGGAGATCGTGCCACTGCACTCCAGCCTGGGCGACAGAGCGAGACTCTGTCTCAAAAAAAAAAAAAGTGATTATTATATACTTTATTTCAAAGATGAAATGTATGACCATACAGCAAAATAAAATTGGGATAAAAAATAACCTGAAAATCAGGAAACAGGAGAAACAGTCTAAACATTTAGTTTTGTGGTCTTGCCTAATTATTTTTCTTATGGTCAATAAGGAATAATTTATAATGACCTTATTCCTGAGTACCTGGAGACTTCTAAGAAGTTTTTAAGAATAGTTTTATGTTGAAGAATCATACCACGAAATACTTCCAAGATATATCTGTGTTGCCATCCTAGTTACTATAAACCAGAGAAAAATATTTTAATTACTCTTTTTAATGAATATGTACAAAAATGCTTCATTATAAATCTAGAATATAGGAATATGTTCAGTAATTGATTTTTGCAAAAGTCTGTTATTATTATTTTTCCCTAAAGCAGGGAGAGAACTGTAGCTTCATAATCTGAGATATCAGGTAAGGAAGTCCTCCCCTATTCTTTCTTAAGGAATAAACTTTTTATATTCCTCTCTCCAGTCTCTCAGAGACAGCATCAAATAACTCCCCTATCCTCTGTTGGCTCCATCCTCGGGGGCGAGTGCTATTTCACATCTTACTCTTAAATCACTTTTAAGAAATAGACATAGCTTCCACCAAAGAGGAGCCCTCCCAACAGACCTCTAATAACACCAAAGGGTTTCCATGTGTGCGCCCTTAAGTGAACATACACAAATGAAATGAATCTACAGATTGGTTATGAAGCCAGTTTTTATGTGACACATGAATATCAGTCATATTAGACACACTCCTGCCGAGTACTGTAACAAATCTCTTCATTTTTACCACATACATGAATAGCTGTCCCATATATTCATAAAATATAAGAATTTTTTTCTTGATTAATAAACTTCATTTTTTAGAGTAGTTTTAGACTCACAGCAAAACTGAGTGGAAAGTAGAAGAGTTCCCATAGACTCCCTACTCCCATACACACACAGCTTCCCCCACTGTCAACATCCTGCACCAGAATGATGCATTTGTTATAATCGATGAACCTACACTGACGCATCACTATCACCTAGAGTCCATAGTTTACATTAGGGTTCGATAAAATAATTTTTTACAACTTAAATCCCCCAATAAACTTAACATTACTTCTCTGGGCCATACGTTTTTCTGCATCAGTAAAATGGGATAAGAATATTTATTTGGAGCTGGGAGTGGTGGTGCATGCCTGTAGTCTCAGCTTCTTGGGAGGCTGAGGTGGGAGGATTGCTTGAGCCCAGGAGTTTGACGCTGCAGTGAACCATGATTGCATCACTGCACTAAAGCCTGGGCAGCAGACTGAAACCCTGTCTCAAACAAAACAAAACAAAATAAAACAAAGATAACAAAAAGGTAATATTTATTTGGAAGGTTTTGTGAGTATTATTTGGGATACATTATGAAAAGTGCTAGCACATTATGAGTATTCAGTTATGGTTAGTTAACTTTATCATTAAGATCGTTATAACCTGTAGGAACTGACCCTGCTACCCCAATCCTGTCTTTGAAGGAGCAAACCCATATGGAAATAAAAATGACCGGCTCCCCTCCCTGCCTTGACCTGTCATTTGAGTCTACCTAATTATAAAATGAACAGGGTTTTAAGTTTTGAACCTATTCCCTGTCATGGTGGGTAGAAAATCAATCACTACACCCCTATTTATAGAACAATCAGAACAGAGGAAAAGACCCGATTTTGAATTCCAGCCATACATTAATTGTGTGCCTTTAGGAAAATCACTTAAGCCTGTTAACATTCATTTTATTCCACTGAATAATAATACACGAAAGCACTTTATATACTTGAATGAACTATGCTCATTTACAGGGTTCTGCGCATGACACTGCATCTGTAAAACAGAAACCAACAAAGTGAGGGCAGAATGAAAAAAAAAACTTCCAGAATGTTCTTCCTTTCCTCAATGCCATGCAGTTTGTGCAGTCAGCTGATTGGCTGAAAAGAGTCAGTTTTGACGACTGATGCTTCCTGCTTATGTTTAGTTGGTTTAGGAAGCTCATTAGGATGCTATCTCGGAGATGAGTCTGGTGGGTAGAATATCTGATGACTGTAAGGCAAATGTACTTCCTTCAGCTGGTGAATTAATTTCTCAATAGACTCAATTTGCTTTTTACCAACTGTCTGGCAATATCCGATATTTGCAATAGTCTTTCAAACACTTGCAATAAAATCTGGCTCACACACACAATCTGTTAGTGGTGAAAGAGAAACATTCA